>NC_000013.11:70377802-70529318 GCF_000001405.40 Homo sapiens
AAATGTTCTGCTATATGGTAGTTAAAAAGAGTTGTCTACTAATTGAATAATTATGTAGATACACAAATGTATTATATATTTTATAGTACATTGACACAAAGTAGTTATGAGAAATACATGTAAAGTTAAAAGCAGATTGTTGGGCATATGGAAAGAATTTTTTTAAAAGATGGTTGTTATACTCAAAATAATCATTATTGCCATCCCATCTTTAATGAAAGGATGAAATATTTAGACATTGGGACTACGCAAAAGGAAGATGAGTTTTTTGAAGACAAACTACAAGACAGGTATTATTCCAGACATTTCTACATACTAAACTTACTTGCCTGAGTTAAATGAAGTGAAATAGTGATTAGCAAATATAGCAGCATATATATATATATAGATATATATATATATATATATATATATATATATATATGTTATCGATGAGAATAGACATTAAAAAGTAAAATGGCTTGTTGGTAGTTTATACTAACTGATAATGGTTTTAGAATATAAATTGAGTATATAAAATATAATTTTACCTTTTCCTTATTTTTCCAATATGTTATAAAGTATCCCCATGTTATGTATTTTGAAGCTCTAATTTCATATACACTGATTTTCAAAAGATGCTTTTTCACATTTTTCAATTTTCAATGAAATCAGCTATAAAATGAGCGAAGGGGCAGATAAATGTGAATTACAATTATTCAAATGAGAGAAAATTGATGTACACTAGGAAAATTGGTGTTACTGGTTAATAAAAGTGTATGTTTTGTGGGGGAGGTTTTCCGTATATGTTGCCTTCATTTAGGGTGAACGATGTCCTAAGATTCTAAAAAGATAAAAAGTATTTGTGCATTTCTGTTTTTCTTTGCAAAACTTTTGAAATCTAACAATAGATTATGAGACAGTCTCCCTGTCTGCTCGTCGAGCTATAAAGTACTGGCGTGCCAGTCAAAATTGGGTTTTGCAGAATCAACGTGATGCACAGCCCTGCATGAAAATGCCTATCACACAGGAAATTAGAAAACACAAAATGGCTTCAGTCAGAGATGAACTAAGAGGACTAAAGAAGAGTTGATATATTCTCTTGGATCCTACCTTTTTGTTAGGGTTTAAACTACTATTACTGTTGAATTACGGTACTATTCTTATTAAAAGCTATATAGACATTAAAGTGATTGCTGAATACCTGGGATTCTAAATCTCTGAAAGAAAACTAAGTGTAACATATTGTTCAAATGTTCTACATCTGAAAGATATATTTTCTTTAAAAAAGACCTATTAATTTCACACGTTTTAACTCATTTTAGGATTATAATAATCCTAAATGTCTAGTGACATTTTGAGGACCAGGATTAAAATTATTTTTATATACTAAATGTCCACAGCATTTCATGTGCTTGTTTTAAATTTTTTAATGCTTCTTGCTAGTTAGAGAGCAAAATCAAAATTGTACCACAGCGTGCAAGACTGTACTCTTTCCATGCATTGGTGATGTCCTTTTTAGACCACAGTACCTTACACATATTTTAATTACAGTATTTATCAGATGCATGAAATTATTTTTTAATATCGGTCTTTACACTAATCTGCAAGATAGTCAGGGGCTGACAATGTCATCTATTTCAGTTATGGACCTAGCACAATTCTGGATACATTTTGACATGCAAATATTTTATTAGTAAAAATTAAAATTTTATAAATATAGTTTATGCAATATATGTGTATATTTTACAAAATGTAATTTTAAATTAACTGGTCCTTTAAACAATCCTATAAATTACTATTTTATAGTTTCAAAAAGTAAGCCGTGGAAAGATTAAGATAAAATTACTGAACTTTCTCACTCAGAATAATTCTAGGTAAATGAGACAAAATTATTTTATATGCATTCTTAGTTACAACTGATGCTATTTGTGTTTACCAAGAATCCCCAAATTTAAAAAAAAATCAAAAGTATTGGTCAGAGAGAACAAAGAAAATGATTTAGGTCACCTAATCTATCTTCAATTAAAAAAACTAATAAATGATTTATTAAATTAGTTCAGCATCACTTAATGAGAAAAAGTCATGTTTTCTAATAAATCCAGTGACCAGCAAAAGGCAACCAAGGATCAGTGCCTAGACAGAGAGACAATCTCTTATGTCAACATATTTGGAAGGGCAAAGCTAATAGGGATATTCTGCAGATGTTTGTAATATAGCAATGGGAATCTGAAAGCAGGCAATATGCTGCGATTCCGGTAAAAGGGGGAACATTAGGAAGGTCTGCCAGTTGGGAATGAAGGCTGAGGCCTGGGAGTGAAATTCCATTCCAGAATTCTAAGTCTAGCTAAAACAGGTGTATTAGGGTTTCCTGGAGGGACAGAACTAATAGGATATATATACACAGGGGAGTTTATTGAGTAATAACTTACTCGATTACGAGGTCCTACAATAGGCTGTCTACAAGCTTCAGGAGAAAGGAGAGCCAGTCCGAGTCTCAAAATTAAAGAAGTTGGAGTCTGATGTTTGAGAGCAGGATTAATCCAGCACAGGAGAAAGATGTAGGCTGGGAGTCTAGGCCAATCTCGCCTTTTCACTTTTTTCTGCCTGCTTTATTATTTTATTGTATTATATTTTTTGAGACAGAGTTTCACTTGTTGCCCAGGCTAGAGTGCAATGGCGTGATCTTCGCTCACTGCAACCTCTGCCTTCCAGGTTCAAATGATTCTGCTGCCTCCACCTCCCAAGTAGCTGGGATTATAGGCATGTGCCACCACATCTGTCTAATTTTGTATTTTTAGTAGAGATGGGGTTACACCATGTTGGCCAGGCTGATCCTGAACTCCTGACCTCAGGTGATGCACCCACCTCGGCCTCCCAAAGTGCTGGAATTACAGGCATGAGCCACCACGCCTGGCCTCTGCCTGCTTTATATTCTCTGGCAGCTGATTAGATTGTGCCCACCGGATTAGGGGTGGGTCTGCCTTACCCAGTCCACTGACTCAAATGTTAATCTCCTTTGGCAACACCCTCATAGACACACCCAGGGTCAATACTTTGCATCCTTCAATCCAATCAAGTTGACTCTTGGTATTAACCATCAGAACAGGAAAGGGATCCCTTTCTAGAAGAACCTGGTTAACTCTCTTGGCTGATAAAGCAGATAAACAAGCCTGGCAAATAGAGTAAGCTGATTTGCATTAATGGAACTTTACAACTATAATCTAGTTCCAGATTGTCTGTTAATGTTTAGCCTGTGAGATTTTATGGATTCCAGTTCTGGCAACTAGAGTGCAGAGCATGGGAGAGATGGGAGCAGGAAAGACAGTTCGTTATAATCAAACTCTATTTCCCAATATATTTATAATCTTTTTTACTTTTCTCCGAGTCTCTGCCAAGCCCTTAATTTGTGTTAATTTTTAGGATTAAATGATATCCTAATATACTTAATATACTTAAAATCACATTGCTTCTCTAGAACTTATGCTCTTATTGCCCCAGCTCAAGAAATGTTTGTTTCTGAACTATCACATTACTGAAGAATATGTTAAATTCATTGTGTTACTTCTTTCATATGAGAAGTCACTCTCAAGCTTTAAAAGTGCTTTACAAAGTTTATCAAAAAGTAAGCATTTTTCTTGAAATACAGACCATAATGCTTATATCAATATCTCCTTGAAAAGGTAAAATTAAACTGTTTTTATCTACATAATCACAGATTTCAGAATAGAAAAATTTGCATGAAACTTATTTTACTGTTTTGAATTTACATAAAGGAGTACAAAAAGTCATGAGCTCAAGGTTCGAATAACTAACTTAACAATATTCATGTTTACTTCCCAGACATTTTGTGACACCACTGATTCAAGAGCTCGTATACCTTAAAATTTATTCGTGCATATTTTCAACTATACAGTTTATTGAAGCGGGTATGATAAATTATGTTATTTCCATTTTAAATGTTGCTCTGTGAAATGAATATGGTACATAATTATGGAAATGACACTGGTAATTAGTTCAGAGAAGTAGCAGAACCTACATAATTTTTAATACATGGTTGAATTAAAAGAGTATTTTCAATAACACTTCAACATTTATTTCCTTATTTATTGTATTATTTAAGTGGACAAAATGTACTTTATAATCATTAAATTATCATTATGACTGATTTACTGGTCCTGAAAACAGGTAAGCAGAGTCAAGAAATCTACCTTAACTACCTGTATAGTCAACACTTTCTAAAATGTTGCACCTTTCAGTTATTCAAAGCCTACTTGTATATAATTGGCTGTATTAAGTAGTATATTTTTGTTTGATGATTAACTCAACACCAATCAGATAAAATTGAATGTGAGTAAATAATGTCAAAGTATCATAAGAATTTATTGCTCTACTCTGGTGACAAATATTTTTAACAAGGCTTAAATATGCTTTTGCTCTTTCTTATTTTGTTCTTAAATTCTGTCATAGCAAAATTTATTTGCTAATTAGAAGCACAGCTTAATTAGTTTTATCTAATATTTCTTTGTGAAGGACACTATTTTGTGTTGAGCTAATCAATATTCTAGGATTAATGGATACTATGATAATAAAAGGTTATTCATTTTGTATTTAAAATATTCACTCTTTTGCTTATACTACGTGACATATATAATCCATGAAGTAAATAACAGTGTTCAAGTACAATTCTCACAACTTGTAAGTAGATTGTTCATCAAAAAATTTTAAAACAAAAACTTAATATTACTTTTCATATTCAATTCAACACAATGGTTTTTGCAAATTATCTTTTTAAATTCTACTGTATCCCCTATAAAACCTTATTAAAGTTCTTGAATTTCAGCTTCCTCAAAAATCTTAAAGGATTTGATTGGTTCAGAGTGTTTTATTTTATAGGGATATATATATATATATATATATATATATATATATATATGTATATACACACACAATGTACACAATTAGCAGAGGCCTGCAGAGAGGCCTGAAATCGGGTATCTACAGATAGTAGATTTGCAGAGTCTACAGATAGTCCGTAAAATCCATGACTTTTTTTGGTAAAACTTTGTTATAGGGTACGTGTCAATTTTTCTAGAACAAAGTTTCATTATTTTGTTTAGAAGTTTATGACTTATTAAAGGTTATATAAACGATGACATCTATAGAGCTGCTAAGTCTAAATATCTACATCTATCTAAGGATTTTTGTTTTTGGTCCATAACATGTTTTACTTTTCTAACTATTTAAACACCAGAGCAGCAATGCATTAAATAAATATATTCATTTGAAACAGCCCAAGAGAATCTCTTCACAAAGTTAATTTTATCTCCTTTACAGGATGAAGAATTGATGCTAATTTTTTCATGTTGTGAGTTTCACAGAAGATATGAGCAGTAGCAGCAAATGTATCTCACAAAACTATTTGCTAAAATTGTGACATTTTAATAACATTGTAGTTAATACTAATAGCAGAAGAGGTGCTCAGCAGGAAGTAGAAAGCATTTTAGGCCCGATCCAACTTTTTCCCATTGACCCTCAAATTTGTCTTTGCTTCATCATTAAGAGAGTTATATCATATAGGGTAGTCATATTCACATCAGTGTCAAGTCTCCTGCTACTGATAATGAAGACAAATTGATATCATGTTTGCCTATCAGTAAAACTTCAAAAATTATTTATCATATTCAACCAGTATGCTTTAGTAGTCTTAAAGCCATAGGGACCTTAATTGTAGTTATTGTAAATCCTAGATTTTCACCACAATCAGATTTTAGGTAATTTTCTTTTATTTTTTACCAAAGGCCCGGATAATTATACCTTTCAATAGTTGTATTTATATTTGTATACCTTTCCACAAAGACGCATTTACAAATAAAATTATTTAACAATGAGCACCCCAAAAGTAGCACATGTGGTGTCTATGCTTTGCCACACACAAACCAAAATGTTATTTTGGTTGATTATAAACACTGATAATTTTTTTAAAAAAATCAACTTTAATACATATTATTGCAAATCCTAATATAACATTTTAAGGGAATTAAATAAGATTACTTAAACTTGGAAAGTCAATAGACATGTACACAGGGGGAACGCCATGTGAAGATTATACTACCACAAGTCAAAGAACTACCTGATGCCAGAAGAGAAGTCTGGAGTGGATTGTTCCCTAGCACCTTCACAGGGAGCATTGCCCTACCAACACCTTGATTTCGAACTTCTCGCCTCCAGGAGTGTGAAACAATACATTTCTGTTGTTCTAAGCCACCCAGTTAGTGATACTTTATCAAAGCAGCCCTTGCAAATTAGCATATTGGTCTAGTTACTGAACTTTACTATTTTAATTCTAAATAGGAAGATATTTCTATGAATTAAAGTATATAACATACAGCAATATACAAATGAAAACTATTACTATGCTGATAATCTAAAATAAAAGTGTTACATTCTAATTACGACTAGGGTAGTTTTGATACCTCTCATAAACCTGAAAAAGAAAATATTCTAAACACATTTATCTACATGGTTCTCAAATTCACACTTAAAAGCAGTTTTGTGGAAACCCCAAAGTCCACAAGGTGGCATATTCAGAAGGGAGGTTTACGTAGCAACAGAGAGTAAACACGAGAAGAAAAACTGTTATTCAGATTTTCAATAGTACCATGAAGATGTACTTGTGTATCTTTATTGTTTTATGTCCTGAAGAGTGAGTATTTAAATGTTATTGAAATGAATTTATATCATTCATCCTATCTTTGGCTTCTAATATTGGACTGTCCACAGGTCGTCATTCATTCATTACATTATCTCAATTTCATCATTCTGGGATACTACTACTTAAATTTGAACTGTCACATTTTTCACCTCAAAGATTTTAGAAAGCACAAATCATTCAGGATAAATTATAAAAGAATGACCATCCAGCACACACATTCATATTCATTCATTAATCAAATGTTACTTACAGCCGAGTTTTTTGTTATGTAGTGTTACTTAACATATAATTAATCTTAGCCCACCGAAAAAAAATGTGTAGCATATAAGCTAAAAATTTAATAAGCAATAAATTATGTATTTTCTTTTCCGTCACCCTGAAACCCTTGTTTATAATGTGGTTCTATATGTTTCTCTTTCAGCATGTGAGAATGAAAATTATACTTTTTAACACAAGTTTTGTGATTTTGCTGATCAAGGAAAAAGCTCGTATCAGTAGAAAACTACGCAAGTTCTAGTTTCCAAGACCATTTAGAAATATCAGGTTAGGATAAAGAGTAGGGGTCCTGTAGTTTCCTCTGATCAGCGACGTAATCAAAAACTGCCCAGAGGATGTTTTAGAGACCCAAAGTGGGTAGCTCCTTTCCAAAAAGACAAAGATGTGAAGTTTAAGTCCTCACTCTTTCCTGGCCATGTGACTTATTTTGACCATTAGAATATGGTGGATGTAACTTTAAGTTCCTAATGTAAACCCCCAAAAGCTTGTGTATTAGCCCGTTTTCATGCTGCTGATAAAGACACCTGAGACTGAGCAATTTTCAAAAGATATGAGCAGTAGCAGCAAATATCTCTCACAAAACTATTCACTAAAATTGTGACATTTTAATAACATTGTAGTTAATACTAATAGCAGAAGAGGTGCTCAGTAGGGAGTAGAAAGCATTTTAGGCCCAATCCAACTTTTTTGCATGGACCATCAAATTTGTCTTTGCTTCATCGTTAACAGAGTTATATCATATAGAGTATATGATACCTCCACATGGCTGTGGAGGCCTTACAATCACGGTGAAGGCAAGGAGGAGCAAGTCATGTCTTACATGGATGGCACCAGGCAAAGAGAGTTTGTGCAGGGGAATGCCATTTTTAAAACCATCAGATCTCATGAGACTCATTCACTGTCATGACAACATCATGGGAAAGACCTGCCTCCAGGATTCAATCACCTCCCACAGGGTCTGTCTCACAACATATGGGAATTCAAGATGGAGATTTTGGAGTGGACACAGTCAAACCATATCAGCTTGCAAATTTTTCTTGATAGTTTTGGGATCAATCGGTCATGGTAGTGTCACACGATCCTTAGGGTGTTGCTTTTCCAGTCAACCTCTGTGGCCGGTGGTGCCTTTACCCATTTTGCTTGGGCCTGCTGGACTCGTTCCACCCACTTGGTCTGGCAGGTTGAGCTCAGCTCACACTACTGGTCTGGATCCCACAGCTGCCGAGGGTGAACCAGGTGTGGAGTGGTGAGGGGTGTGTGAGTGAGCAGGCATGGGGTCTGGCCACTGGGCACAGCAAGTCAGCCAGCTGCTGTGGTGGGGTATGCAGCTCCAGGCCTTGGCACAGGTACCAGCTCCATGCAAGGCCGTGGCTGGACCAGATGTATCATGAGTGGTTTCTGCAACAGGCACCTGTATCTGGATGAGAGGAACACAATGGTACCCAGAAGCTTGGAGATGCCAGGAACTGCAGAGTCCCAAAGAGGATGTCACAAGCCCTGGCTTGTGGAGTCCCTAGGTCTGTGGTCCCTGAATGGCTGCAGCTTTTCTCTCCTTCTTGTTACTCACAACATGGTGAGCAAGGGGTCGTGTTTCAGCACTGTTTGTGTAACAGCTGTTTCAGTCCTGCTATTTGGTGGGCCCAAGTTCTTGTCCTGTGTCCAGGAAAAATGAAGTATGCGGACAACAAGCAGGCAGGTTGTCCCAAAGAATGTCTGAGCCTGACTGATTCTGGGGTTTTTATGTGCCCAGAAGTGAGGAAGTCCATGCTGATTGGCCCATGGGTAGCCACAGGCAGACCTGGAAAAAGCACCATTCAATTGGCCAAATGGTCCTCAATGAAGTTCTCACTCCAGGCTGCAGGTTCCCCCAGGAACTGGCAGCCTGGTCTCCAGGTTTCAGGCTGTCTCTGGACTGAAGGTAGAGTTTCACTGGGAACCCATCTCTTCCTCCCCAGGAACCTGTCTGCTATTAACATGCCATCCATGGCACCTGGACTGTCTATACTGAGAGGCACCCACAGGCCTGTGCTGAGATGCCCTTACCGCCCCCCACCCAGATCCCCCTACCACGCTTGTCAGTACCCAAAGTCTGGAGGGGGGCAAGGTGGCAGGGGGCTGATGTGTCAATGTTCCCTGAGCACGTACGCTCGTACAGGTTGGGACACTGTCCAGGCTTAGCCACAACTTTGCTCCATTCTGGAGTGGGTGCTGGGAGCAGGGAGAGGCCAATGAGTGGGAGCAGGCACTTTCAAGCCTGTGGGGGCAGGAGGCTTCCTGGACCTCAGAGAGCACAGGGATGCCGGTGGCTGCAGCTGTGCCTGGGACCACAGGGCTCTGGCCTGCCAACTCGGTAGGGGGCGTACCTCTCACCTGTTCCTGACTCCCTCTGGCTTTATGAAGCACACAGCCCCAGCCGTACCTCCCCCACTGCAGCCTGTGTCCTCACATTAGCTGTTCCAGATGGGCCATCGCCACCATCAGTAGGAGCTTGAATTGGTCTGCTGGGTAATGGACAGCACAGGGGTAACTGCCATTGTCATCCCAGTCAGCTTCCAGATTTGGGAGTGGGGCCATCTGAAATAACTCACTTGTAGCCAATCTGTCAATCATCTGCAGACACATGAGCAAGCCAGGTCAGATCAGCTGAACTTAGTCTAGACCAGAGTAACAGCAGAATTACGATCTAAATAAATGGCCATGTTTTTCAGCTACTAAGATTTGGGATGGTTAATGTCTCAGCAATAGCTAACTAGTATAAAAATTGTTACCTGGAAGAAGAATGCTGCTACACACACACACACACACACACCCCCCTAAAATGTGGCATTTTTGGGAGAAGATGACAGGCATCCCATTTTCCAGAATGCTGTGACAATTACCTACCTCACTGCTTTTTCAGCCCTGAAAACCATTGGCTTGCTATTTTCTCAGCCTTTGCTGGTGGTTCCTTCTATGCTTTTCCCATCTCTACCTGTCCATGTTACACAGTTAAAATAGAAATGGCCAAACTGTCATGTGTGGTAACTTGGAAAAAAGTAAATGTATTCAATGAGGTTTAGATCTGACTAAGGAGATCACAGGACCAAATACTGCAAGTGGCAGGTTGGCTTTATTAACTGTGAATGATAAATAGCTGCAAGAGAGAGAGATGAGATAAAGAAGCAATCCTCCATTTGCATGCCAAATTTAAAGACAATATAGAAGAGATAGGACTTGCTAGTTTGGAAAAATAACTGTCTATCATCACTACTCTTCTCTGCTAATAATGTATCCTTAAAGCAATATGAGGCCTGGAGCCAAAGCTCAAATTAAGGATGTGGCTGCCAGAACCTCAAGAACGCTGGAAGATTTAAGGCGGTACCTAGTAGATGATGCATTAGGTCTATAACAACAACCACAAACACTAAAGAAGCTCAAAGAATCTTATGGGAATTGTTCTTAAGCTGTTTGACAAGCCACTCAGAAGTGAAATCAGTCTGTCTAGGAAACAGTTGTGGATGTGGATTTTGTCACATGAGGTGATAAGATTTCTGATACATAGAAATCCCACAAATATTGTATGAAAGTTGTATCAGCCAAAAGCCATCAGCCTGGGCTAAATGGAATTGTGATTATTCATATTGCCAAAAGATTTCTGAGCTTCTAAATTTTTGCAGGCTAAGAAAAAAAATGCTGCAAATACGCACAATTTCTTATGGAAAATAAAAATATGTTTCCGAGGGCAGAAACAAGATCTGAGAGAATGCAGGCTATATTAAGAGAGAATAATGTAATAGAAATGAACTCTCAGGAAGAAGAACCAGGCCCTAATGAAAACACATTTCCTTTTTCAGAGAACTGAAAATAGTTGTACTGCAGCAGGATCAGGGACTGCTATGTGCTTACTGTTCTTTTATTTTTGAAGTGGGTAGGATTAATATGAATATAGTCTATGGTAGCTCTATAGTGATAGCGAGAAATGCCTGGAACTCAAGTACTTGTCTTTGGCCAAGATAGGGATGAAACATACTAGACAACGGCTTATATTTGTTTAAAGTCTGAAAATTCCCTACTGGGATACGTAAGTTGTCAAGTTTGTTACTGAAAATGTATATACCGATCATTAAAACCTGCTTTGGTTATAGAGCAGGATATTCGTTATGCTACTAATGGGGTATAAAAGATCCCCCAGTAAACTTGAACCTTGGCTTTTGTGACTAATGTATCTTAGAAATATCCTGAGAATTCACTGTCCAAACACAAAACATATTTTCTATAATTGAGAAAGTTCTCTAGGAGCTGCACCTGAGGCACTGGGACCTCTCCATATTTGCTTAAGCTTTCTGTCTGCAGCTGAACCATATTCTTTACATTTATTAGAACCTTATGTGAGTACACACTGTAAAATTTCATGGCATTGCAATTGTGCCCAGTATAATTACTTGCAAATATGTACAGATAAGTTTTGCAATTCTTGTCTCACCATTATATTTGGGTGTATGGGGACGCATAACTTGTCTTTCATTTTTAAGTTTCTGGATGAAAAGAAGCCACATTCAGAAAGCTTCAGCCACACACTCATCATTCAAATGTAAGGCATTAATAAACATCAATGTGTCTTTTTATTAGGATAGCACCTGAATTTTTCCTGCCTTATCTACGTACAGGATGGAATAACTCAGGATTTAAATATGTCTAGGAGATAACTTCAACAGATAAAGGGAACTGTGTCCTAAATAACATCTATAGTCAGGATTTTAATTACTTTGAATTGTGCTTTTGTTGCTATCCAAAGGCCATATGTTATTTCTGATTTTTCTTTTTTAAAATTTCAATGCATTTTGATCTGTGTAATAAGTACACTCAAAATATTGGGACTAAGTCATCTTTTTAATACAGTTTTTAAATATATTAAAAGTTTTTCAAAGGATTTTGTTAATCAATTTGTACCTTCTGGTTATATTGGACAGTACTATTTGGAAACACTGCTATGATTTGAATGTGTTCCCTCTAAAATGCAGGTGTTAAAACTTAATGGCAGTGTGATGGTATTAAGAGGTGAGGGCCTTGGTGTACCCATCAACCCATCATCTATATTAGGTATTTCTCCTAATGTTATCCCACCATGGCACATGTATACCTATGTAACAAACCTGCATGTTCTGCACATGTATCCCAGAACTTAAGGTATAATAAACAAAGAAAAAAATTCACCCAACACATCTTTCAAGGTTTAGATCACATTCTACCTTCTACAGAGAAAAAAAGAAAACACAAACAAAACTCCTCAAAACAATATAGTACTATAATTAGCCAGTTTTTATACTCATTAAGCCTTCACCTTAAGTTCAGTCTATATCCAAAGCAAATGTACACTGTAGATCATTGTTCTGTGTAGTTTTTGGATGTTTTCAGTCTTCCTATCTAGGTGGTTCAGTTGTAGATACAGACCTCTGAAAGGCAGTGTAACTGCAGAGCAAAGAGCTGTTTTATTTATTTATTTATTTATTTATTTATTTATTTATTTATTTCCTTTCTCTGTCTCTCTTTCCCCCGCCCCACGCCCCCCTTTCACAGACAGGGTCTCGTTCTGTTGCCCAGCTGGAATGCATCATAGCTCACTATAACCTCAAACTCCTGGTCTCAAGCATGAGCCACCATGCCTGACCCCATATAATTTCAATACTAAATTAGGGTTTCATTTTTGCTGCTGGTGTTGAATAGATTCATACCACAGATAACACCAAAGCTGTGATAACAGAGAAAACATTTTGAAAGGCTGTTACATTTCTCTTGGTTGAAACCATTTAAAATTAATAAGTCAGAAGTAGACAGGATTATTAGTCCTACTCTCAACTGGAGAGGACAAATACTACTTCCTACATACCTACATGTGAAGGTTACCAGGTTGTTGTCTTAACAGCCCACAGTCCTACTCATTCTCATATCAGGGTCTCCATATAGAAACATAGAAACACGTTCACAGTGTACTTCTTGCTTTATCTACAAATATCTTTACGGCGAACTGATTACACCAACATATTTTTCTTCCCAATTCATTTGGCAAAAGTATTTACAGTTGTTTAGAAAGACTATAGAATTACAAGTGCAGGAAAGGCAGCAAAGTTTCCAGCTCAGATTTTGATATGACATGTGTTGTATCTCAAACTAATTATAACTTTCTTTTTCTAGGGTTCATGAGGGATTTTCCTGATTGTTCCCACCTCCAGTGCTGCCAGCTTGCCCCTTTGCTCCCCTCCTTCTACCTATTTCCTACTCGTTATAATCTGATTTTATCTCTGCCTACTATCAATTAACCTATTCACTACATTCTAACCACAAGAGATTCCCATCTGTTGACCCTGGGCTGAGCATGTCCTGGAACTGATTTCATTTTTTCAGCAAGTATTTATTGGACATCTCCTGCATGCCAGCCAATGGGCCTTCTTTTCACTTTGACTTCTAGTATTCAGGTGTCCTCCACCTCTTCATGGGTTTTCACAAGACTTCTCACGTCCTAGCTTCACACTAATTTTATGTACAGTTACTCTTAACTTTAACGATTCTCAATAAGGTAATTTTTTGCCCTCTGTAAATTTCTCTAGTTCCAATTATATTCCCATTCAAATCGTTTTGTTTAGCTTTACTTTCTCTACCATCTTATGACATGTACTTTCATAATTTTGATGGACTTCAACCATCTTCTTAATCTGCTTTCTTTTAAATGCATGCCTAACTTTTGTACTAGCTAATTTATGTCTAAGATTTTGTTATCTTGATAAGCATCATTCATAGCTTTTCTAGCTTATTAATGTCTTTTCAGATATCATGTTTGTAGGGGATCAGTCAGTGTGGTTAGAAACATTGTAAGATGAAATTATAGAATATAGACACAAACCTTGGAAGGCTGGAAGGTTTGCATAGCTTCAGTAATAGATCTGGCATGAAGGCAGCCTAATCTTTACCTTGAGTAGATAGCTTAAAGTAGGTACAAAATAATGTAAGGGAGTTTATCTAAATAACTTGTTTACTCATGTGTTGCTAAGACTAACCTTTGATCATTGGCAGGCAGGATGGCTCTCTTGGGGGGAGGGCAACCAGGTTAATTACCCACAGGTGTATTGACTCAAAGTCTTTGTCATTTAATCTAACTAAATAAATACGAATTTGGCTGGCTTATCTGGGCAATGCTCCAGACTCAGAGCAGAGCCTCTTAGCCAGACTGACAGGCAAAATATCTGTGTCAGTGTAGGTCTCTCATGTGTCGCCAGGTCAGGGTCTGAGGGTTGGACCTCGAAAATGTTAACCTTTTAAGAAAAGGAAAAAACAATACATTACAGTGAATATCTTCTCCCCAGATAAGTCATCAGATTAACATAATGGACATAATACTTTAGATTTTCTTTAGGCAAATCAAATAAGGGCAGACCGATACAACACTCATCTCTTCTTTCTTTTATACTGTTTTTAAGAACATGATTGTTTAAAGAATATAAAGCACTTAATTTTTTGTTATGAACTTTCTAAATGGCTTATTTTAATAATCATAAGTTCAATTCTAAGCATTTGCATTGTTTATATACTCCTTCCTATAAGCCATTTTACCAGCTTCTCCACAGTTGTAGAACTAGCTTTAAGTGTTAAGTATCATAATAAGGCTTCCTTTGTAGTACCTGTTGAACACCTTCCTTTCAATTTTCCTGGCCTAATTCTCTGCCCCACCTTCTATCCCACCACCCTGCTTTTTTTTTCTTCAGAGAATTCAAACTCTATACTACCCATTCCCCTGGAATACTGCAATCCCTTCATTCATTTCTCTTGAATTTCTATACTGTGGCCTGTTACTAGCCATACTCTTAGTTCTTCCTTATTTTTTCATAGGTTCTCTCTTAATAAATGTGTTAATATGTTATCCTTTTAAACTAACATGAAACATAATTTATACTTGAATTTTTTAACTTGCGCTGAATATTATATCAGTATTGTGTTTCCTTATAATACATTTTAAAAGCTGTTCTAATATTTTATATTCCCATATTCCTTACTTTTGGAATTCACTTTTAGAATAAACTTTATCTTTCTTCATTTTAAACTAAAGAAAAAAAAAAAGAGAGGTGAGGGCCTTTAAGTGGTGACTAAGCCCTGAGGGCTTCTCCTTCATGAATGGGATTAAAGATCTTATAAGAGACTTCATGTAGCCTTTGGCTCTCTTGCTCTTCTGCCTAGTGCTATATAAGGATAGAGCTTTTCTCTCCTTCAGAGGACATAGAAAGATGCAATCTTGGAAACAGAAAATGCCCCTCACCACATAACTGAGCCTACCAGCACCTTGATTTTGGATCTCCCAGCCTCCAAAATGGTGAGAAAATAAATTTATCTTCTTTACCTATTAGCCAGTCTCTGATATTTTGTTATAGTAGTACAAATGGATTAAAATGCACTGGCATTTATTAGGGTTTTGTTGTTTTATGTCAACTTCTGACTTATATTCCTGGGTAGTAAACCCAATCTAATGATTATTTCTTTCAGAGGAAATAAAAGTACAGGGAGACTTATCCAGATGCTATTTTGAATGAGTGTTAAGCAAATCCATCTCAGTTGAACTATAGATTTGACATTAAGAGGAAGTTAATGCAAGAACATAAGGCTTAAGAAGTACACATCCACATAAAAGTTTAATCCAATACACTTTTCCTGTTACTAAGAAAAAGCAAGATAAAATACCTGTGAACCAGTGGGCATCTAGAGGTTGTGTCCCAGAGGATAGCAACATTTAACAAGACAAAAATCTCAGTAATCAAATGCAGGATCTGGATTGAAGGAAGAAACACATTACGAAGACAAATTTGAAACTAAGAAGTCGGGGAAGGTGAGAATCCAAAGACAGCACTGTGCCGAAAGGCAGATAAGATTATGCCAACATCAAGCATATCTTCACATTGATATTAACAGCCAGAAACATGAATTTATCTTTTGACACCGCCTCACTCAGCTTTATGATGGCATTAATCTCAATACTCTTATGATTTTGACTTGAAACAAATGTAAAAATATAAATGAATAATAGAGGACATATTGCCAATATTACTAATAAATATTTAGTAATACATTATAATGTTATCTAAAACTCAGTATAGAAATCTCTGAGGTCCAGATCGAAAAAATGCCTCTGTAATGTTAGGTCAGAAAGATGCATTTGCACTTCCAGAGGATCAGGACGTTGTGTTCTTGCATAAATGGCTGTGAGGGCTGCTAACCACATTCTTGATTGGTTTATGGGAAATTGGAATAAACTTGTGGCCTATGTTAAACAGGTTAAGATGCCAGGATCTTCTTTTCCTGAGGCAGAGACATGAATCCAAAGTCTTTGGGCATTAGAAATGCTAAAGTAAATTTATTATGTTTGACTCACTTACTCATCCCTTTAGTACTGAGAGGGCATGGGAAAATCCATTGGTGAAGGAGTTCACAAATCCTCAAAAATATTTATAATAGCTGACAATAGAAGAATAGCTGACATTACCATTAAAAAGGGCAACCTGCTGTAATTGTTAGTAGGAGCTCCCAGAAAAGCAGAGTTCTGGGGGCAGCACTTAACTACCACAAACAAGGTAATGATTGTAAAGAACAGCATGGATCAAGCAGGAACCAGACTGGAGTTCAGGGATATTTGGCAGTAATGAGTTTATTATGGTCTCCCTAGAACTGAAATAGAAGGACAGCTTAGTATGAGTCCTTATTTGACCTGCAAAACTGGGGGGAAACAAAACCCAAAACTCCCACTGATATGAGGAATGAAAGATAAGATGGGCACTAAAGATAAAAGTGTAATAATGGAATATTCTGAATGACTTAATGTCAATAAATTGAAAGCAGTTAAAGAAATTTAAGAAACAGTATTATAAAGGTATTAGAATAAATTATAACATACTTCGTGGTCTTAGAATACAGGAAGTTTCCTTAAGCAACTTATTTCTTAGAAGGATAACTAAGTAGTCAACAGATATATAAAACTAGTTGAGGAACAGCCAAAGAAACGTAAAAGAGCAACAGCAATGTATATATATTTTACTGTCTACATATACACACATACACACACACACAGATTTACAAGAAAAAATGTATCATAAATATTCAGTGTAAAGTGAGGGAATTTT
Source organism: Homo sapiens (assembly GCF_000001405.40). Classification (NCBI taxonomy): domain Eukaryota; kingdom Metazoa; phylum Chordata; class Mammalia; order Primates; family Hominidae; genus Homo; species Homo sapiens. The sequence goes on from NC_000013.11 coordinate 70,394,909, forward strand.
TAAATACAAAATTTTAGCATTAAGGTCTTCATCTCTAATTAGCATAAAACTAACAAAAATATGAACTAGAAAATAGTGTCTATATCTTGAATCATTGGCTCTACTCTTTTTGAAAAAATAGCCACACATTTAGCTGTCGTATATTTACATAATTTACTTTGAAAGTTTAAAGTTATGCTATTCGGATATTAACAGGTACTTTTCCATTTGAAAATGCTGATTTTCTTTACTTGAGATTCAGTTAAGACTCAAAGGAGAGAATACGGTATGGATATCTAAATATAGTTGAAGATATATTTCCTTTTTTATTCTTTAAGTTGAAAATTTTGTGCAATTGACTTCCCTTATAAAGAATAACCATGTACGCCCTATAGAATAATATGACTCACAAACCTGACTTTAATACACATGGCTAGGCTTTTCACTATGTGCTTAAATATGATTAATTAGAAATGCAAATTGTGATCGAACAACCATGGTAGAACTGAATGGCTGCACGTAAATGAGTTTTATTTTATTAATTCATAAGCAAACATGTATCATCCATGAATAGAATTTGAGCTAAAATTCAAAACATAAAATATGTTGCAAACGTCCTCTAAGTTTGAACTGTAGTTAGGCATATATAATGCAGAGTCCCAAAACTGATGAATCATACATCTTCTAAGGCAATACTTTAGAGTTCAGTAAAAGATACAGAACTTGTAAGTATAAGCTGAAATGCAAGTTATATCAGGATTATGGTATTGTTTATATCTATAAATGTATATATTCTTATTTAGATGTTTTATATCTAGATATACATGTTCAAATTAAGTCAAAACAAAATGTATCTACCTTTAAAAATCTTTTCATAATGTGTAAAACAGAGATAAGTAGACTTAAAAATTCTGTACCACTTTTCCAAGCAGCTAAGTAGAACATTTATTCAATGTAATTTAACGAGATTATCTGAAAAATGTAAGGAACACCATTTGAAGTTTGCCACTATAATTTATAACATGACGGGTTGATGTTTGACAATATTTATCTTATTATGGAAGTTACATTGGCTGCATACAGTTGGAGAAACAGATTTTAATATGTTTTATAGATAGGAATAAGGTAACAATGGAATTATTGGTACAGGATAGCTCCACATTGTACACTCTGATATACTGAATGCAAGGATCAAAGACATACCATGAATATATTTTAGAAAATTACATATACATACTTAAAATTTATAGAATGAGCTTACATATATCTAGTACAAGATGGCATACAAACTTGGAAATATTTCTAAGAAAAGTTATAATCATATTTGTATAAAAATTTAACTATTTTGATATCAGAAAGGTGGCATTTGACAGAGAAATCATGTGATTTTTCTCTGTGCGTTATTTAAAACATTGAAATGTGTTTGCTTCAGGACATAAATAATCATTCTGCTAAGTGTATTAATTACTCACCAGGTTTCATTTATAATAGTAGATACAGTGGTAGAATAAACAGACTTGCCTAATTTATTTTTGACTTAGTACACATTTTTCTACTTTCAGAATTTCTACAAAAATAGGAAAAAATACTTGGTATGATGGGTCTTTTCTCATTTTTAAAAAGCCTGACAGCTTCTTTAGGGAGGGCCTACTTCTACGTGTCTGTCACATTCAGGGACTAATTGGGTTCCTATTTCATTCACTTGGCATTTGTAAAGAACTCTCGGGATGTCTTGATATGCAAAATAATTTTATATTCAAAATTCAGGACTCCTAAGCCCTAAAAATAAATATTCTAAACTGGTAACCCACTTAAATAATGGAGGGCTAATAATTGTGTTTAAAATAATTATCATACAGCCTAGGAATCAGCTTTTACTTCACAAGTCCACACTAACATAGCTAATTGAAAACTCTACATCTTTATTTATAATATATGTAAAATGGACATCTTATCAGAATATGTAAAAAACTTGAATACTTACCACCTGCCCAACCCCCCACATCTGGATCAACAACTTCCCTTTCCTGGATTCTTCTCTGTAAATAAGTCCATATTTTTCTTGAGCCAAACACTTATAGTCATATTTGAATCTCCTCATTTCATATCTATTCCACAAAATAATCCTGTTGATGTTTCCTTGAAATTTATTCAAAAACTAGTCTCTACTTACAGTTTACATCACTACCACCAGGTTCTTCCATGATCATCTTCTCTTTTACCTTTGAATCAGTTTTCATAACTGATCCATTTGCCTCCAGTTTGCCCTTAAACCTATTCTCTCCTAATATAATCTTACTAAAATATATGTAACATCATGTCATGGCTCTACTCGAAACCTTCTAATAATTTTGAATCTTAGTCAAATTCCAAAGTCCTTATGTCTTTAAGGAATTTCATGAGCTAGAACCTGCTATCTGCTGAATCTCATTTCCCAATATCCTCACTTGCTCACTGCCTTTCAGACACTCTTGCCTCTTTGTACTTCTACAGTTTCAACAGGCATACTCCATTCGGAGCATTTGCAATTGCTCTCCCCTCACCCAACATGTTTTCTTTCTAGATATTCACATGGCTCAATTGCACACTTCCTTCAGAATCTGTTCAAATGTCATTATTACAGAAATTTGTATTGACTGATATAAAAGCAATATAGTGACAGTCCAAATCATTTGAAGTATTTTGTTTTATGTAATTCTTTTTTTGTGTGTTTGGATTTTCTTTTCTATTATTTTTTTTATTATACTTTAAGTTCTAGGGTACATGTGTATAATGTGCAGGTTTGTTACATATGTATACATGTGCCATGTTGGTGTGCTGCACCCATTAACTCATAATGTACATTAGGTATATCTCCTAATGCTATCCCTCCCCCATCCCCCTACCCCATGATACGCCCCAGTGTGTGATGTTCCCCTTCCTGAGTCCGAATGTTCTCATTGTTCATTTCCCACCTATGAGTGAGAACATGTGGTGTTTGGTTTTTGTCCTTGTGATAGTTTGCTGAGAATGATGGTTTCCAGCTTCATCCATGTCCTTACAGAGGACATGAACTCATCATTTTTTATGGCTGCATAGTATTCCATGGTGTATATTTGCCACATTTTCTTAATCCAGTCTATCATTGATGGACATTTGGGTTGTTTCCATGTCTTTGCTATTGTGAATAGTGCTGCAATAAACAAACGTGTGCATGTGTCTTTATAACAGCATGATTTACAATCCTTTGGGTATATACCCAGTAATGGAATGTCTGGGTCAAATGGTATTTCTACTTCTATATCCTTGAGGAATCGCCACACTGTCTTCAAGAAACTACCATCAGAGTGAACAGGCAACCTACAGAATGGGAGAAAATTTTTGCAATCTGCTTATCTGACAAAGGGCTAATATCCAGAATCTACAAAGAACTCAAAAAAATTTATAGGAAAAAAACAACCCCATCACAAAGTGGGCGAAGGATATGAACAGGCACTTCTCAAAAGAAGACATTTATGCAGCCAAAACACACATGAAAAAATGCTCATCATCACTGGTCATCAGAGGAATGCAAATCAAAACCACAATGAGATACTATCTCACACAAGTTAGAATGGTGATCATTAAAAAGTCAGGAAACAACAGGTGCTGGAGAGGATGTGGAGAAATAGGAACACTTTTACACTGTTGGTAGGACTGTAAACTAGTTCAACCATTGTGGAAGACTGTGTGTTCTATGTATTTCTTGATAAATCTTCATTGTTAGCATGTAATTAAGAACCCAATCTTTCAATATGCTCTCTATATGCTCTCTAGCTTTTTTTAGAGAAACTTATTACATATATGTGTTTCTTTTATTTTTGTCAATTATGTGATGATTAGCTGTATCTGCTTTTTTGTTCTTAATTATATACTCAGAATAATGTTGCAAAAGAAAAAGTATTTAATAACAGAACATAGTACATGGATTTATTTCACAAGAATATATTTCTTGAAATTTTAGACATTATTTTCTTGATCATAAAATTCAAGAAAACCCTCTCAAGTGTCCTCTGTACTTATTTAATGGATTTCTGCTTTAATATGTATTGGAGATGACTGAAATAGTGAGTGAATCCAGGCCATAAAAATGGTCCTGAAGGAAAAAATAGACATTAGGAAATATGAGACAGAAAACCATTTTACTATTAAGTCCAATAGAACATAATGTAAAGTTGGAACTAAAGAGAAAAAGGAACGTTAGATTACACAGTCACTGACAATATTAAATATGACTTCAGAAAATTGTGGAATAAGAAAATATCTTCAAGTATGTGTGACAGGCAATAAATAAGCTTTAGTGGCAAAGTTTTTTGATTTTGTAGAACACACAAAAAAAGTGCATGGTTAATAATTTATTCAGGTTTACTAAAAACTTAAACCAAGGTAAGAAAAATAACTTTGATCTTTGTGAAAGCAGAATGAAAGTAGTAATTAAAATTTAAAAAGTAAAATTAGTATTTGGAAATTGTATTAATGTAGAACTAAATGAAGGACAAATTATCACAATGCCTAAGTATTTTTTTCTTCCAAGATGAAAAGAATGTTGTACAGGTAAGAGGAGGTAGTCTGCTCTCAACAAGTGCATGACACCTGGGAAGCTTTTAACTAGACAATGTGGCATGAAGAGGGAAAGCTAATGATACTTTCTACTCTCGAGTTCTGATACTTCCATAGAAAAACAAAATAGACCAGGCAAATTTGCATACATGTATGAATATAATTGGATAAAATAGGAGAATTTGAGGAAGTGCTACATATTCAGAGGGCGATAACCAAAGGCATACTTTATACTTATGAAGGCTGCTGGAATTAAGCTATACCTTTTAGAAAGATGGGGCTCAGCTTGTAATTAAACACAAATATTTGCAAGAAAAGGGAGAAGTTATAGGTAGAAAAACATAGGAAAAGGACGATCACATATTGGTCACCTGTATTGTTCCAAACAATTTGCAAGAATTACTTAATTTTCAAAAAACCCTTGGATATCATTATTTCCTTTCTATTAGTTGGAAAAGTACTATTAGGAGAACTTTCAGGTCAGACTGCTAATAAACAGTGTCATAGCTTGAATCTCAGTGTAAGTAAAAATCATATTCTCACTATGACACTTACATGGCATGAACCTGTACTAGCATCTGAAGTACAACAAAATAAAATGAAAACTCATGTGTAGGTTTATCATAGAATGTAACAAATTAATTTTTGAGACAATTAAGCTTTTTTTGTTTTGTTTTTCTAAGAGAAACTGTGATTCTAAGAAGTAACTTATGGTTATTCAAATATCTCAGGGAAATTTTTAGAGCTATATTTGGGAATGATTACAGAAGAATGGTAGAAACTGTTCTAAGCCAGTGGTTCTCATAATTAAGCCTGTATCACAATCATCTGAGGCCTAAAAGTTCACATTTCTAGCTAGTGCCCAGGTGACCTGATGCTGCCGGGCTAGGGGCCTTACTTTGGGAGGTAACAAGACATCTGAATAGAGAGACACATCATAGAAATAGTCATCTGGTCCTACTAGTGTTTTGAGACCCCTGAAAAAAAAAGGGAGTAGGATTTGGGTGATATTATCTTATTACTGATTATGACAAACTTTTAATTATACTTAAATTCTTAAGTTGGTCCTCTAATTCACTGTAAAGGATCTAAATTAATATATAAGCACTGCTTTAAATTCCAGAAAAGCTTAAGAACAGAATAAATGTATTACCACCCAGCAGAAGAAAATGTACTATCTTTAAAACTGAAGCTTGCTGTTTAAAAATGCTTTTGTTCCCTCAGTGCAGTACAAATATAGTCTGCATATTTTATAAAATAATTATTTTGATTTTGAATATATATTATTTTATTTCAATACATTCAGTAATTCTAAATAAAATGCATTCATAGAGTTAATGTGTCTAGGTTATGTAGTAAAATTCATTTAGTAATTTTAAATAAGTGTAGTCACAAATTTTACTTTCTTCTGCATTTCACTAGACAGATCTCTCACATTTATACATTATAACAACAACAACAAAAAGTAGGAACAGATGGGAGAAAGCTTTCCTTCATGTTCATTACATTTTACATTTTCTCACCTAAAGCATGAATTTGTTTGATTATAGAGTGCTTGACAAACTAAATAGTTATCTCTAGTAAATTAAAGTAATTCACTTCACCTGTTGAACATAATTGTTTCTTCATAATTGGATCCTTTAAATAATTTTTAAACAGCAAACATAACATTTGCTGTTGCATATAAAATTGGATGATAATATCTAACATTATCACATGGTGGCAAAAACAATGGTTTCTTTAATTTTGAGAATGTTGAATACCCTAAATGTGCATATTCCTAAATAAATGAATTAATTTAAACTAGGCATATTATAATTTTACATTTACTTGAAAAAATAGTAATATCTTTGCAAGTATAGAGTTAACTAAATGAAAATGAATGTTTTATTGTTTTGAACCACATAAGTCTGTGTTTAAATAATGCTATAACTAAAATATTTAGTTGGTATTAGTTTGTACTGTTTGAAAACAGGATAGGATTCAAAGAAGTAAATATTGCTTTCTGATAAGATTTTCTAAATAAATGGTTTAATGCTTAGAAAGATGTTAGGGTCAGCAATTTCCAGCCGGAAAATGTAATTCTGAATGCCAAGTTCATGGTATTCAAGCTCTTCTGCTTTAAATGTCAGGGCTGTTTGCCTGTATCAAGCACTGGACTGATAAATGCAGTCAAGGAAATAGAAAACAGAAATGAAATTAAATATGACATATAGAAGAGCAGAGGAGAGCACTGAAAATTCACATCCTTTATTGGAAAATAAACAATACTTGAATTAAATTTCTGAGAATAGATCAGGTTGTTTTAAAATTTATATTCATCAAGTCATAAAATTAGAAAAATTTAATAAGTAAGCAGACTTTTGTACAGCCCAATTAACAAATAAAATCAAATATTTTTTCTCATTGTAATCAAAAGTTACAGACAGTATTTTCCTAGGAAGGAAATATTGAACAACATTTTTGTTGAAATTTAACTACCATTTTTCTTACTTGCTTTTTCTTCTCCTTTTTTGAACATAGGAAATATTTACACCTATTTTCCCAAACTTTTGTTAGATGAGTGCTTATGTAGCATGTTGCTGATTGGCAACTTATTTCTCTTTAGTCATAAAGGATCAGAGAATGTATTCCCATTACATGTCATCACTTCAAGTAGGATGTAAATCTAGAATGATATAGACTAACACATCTCCATTCAAGTTTTTATGCATAAACTATATATTAGGTGTTGGACCACACAGTTTATTTCTAATCTATATTTTGGTTGTTAGCAGTGAGAGAGAATACTGTGAGAACATGTGAGAGAATAATGAAGTAAAATAAATGAAATACATGAAAAAGAATGTATTATAAGGACTCATGGGTCATAAAGAAATAAGAACACTGTTATCTACATTACAAGAATGTAAAATCTCAACTATACTTTTTCATCTTACTATATCCTTTTATACATAGAAGTTATATTGCTCTCATTTTATATATAATGTCCTTCGTAGTTATTGCCAATATTGCATTTTGATTTTTAGAGCCAATTATGCCTAATTAAAAAACATTTTTTTATGGCAGCTATGCAATAAAAACTATTGAATATATTTAATGCAATATTAATTATATTTTTAATATATAGCAAATAACTTTAAATAAAAAAAGTATCAGCTATTCTAAGTTAAATAAAAGGCCCAACTTGAATTGAGCATATACTCACTGAGACAAGTTAATTACTGAATATTCCCTTTTGATCCATTTTTATTGTTTCTGGTGGAAGAGATTCACATGTGCTCTCATGAAATACATAGTTAGATAAAATGAATAAGGTCTAGTATTTGATAGCACAACAGAGTGACAACAGTTAATAATTTATTGTATATTTTAATTAAAAGTATAATGGAATGTTTGTAAAACAAAGAAATGCTAAATGCTTGAGGTGATGAATACCCTATTTATCCTGATGTGATTATTATGCATTGTATGCTTGCATCAAAATAGCTTGTGTACCCTACAAATATATAAATACCTACTATGTACCCATAAAAATTAAAAATTAAAAGTACATGACAAAATGTGTTCCATTACAAGTGGATTTTAATATTGTGCATATTTTATATGGATACACAAAAACAAGTTTATAAAACTACATTTAAAATAATATGTATTACATGATAATATATTTTAAACTATAGATAATATATAACTGATTTGATAAAGTAACTCAATAGAGTTTATCATTGGGAGTGCATTTTATAAAATATAACTAGATATTATAGCACTAAGGCTATTTTTATTTCTTTTCTTTGGATTAATTGAAAACATGTATTGTAGACTTATAAATGTCAGAATTTGTATGTATTTGGCTTTATCAGACTTTCTGGAGGATTATTAGGTAGAGTACATACTGAGAGAAGGAACATCTTTGAAATATCTTTGAAATGAGTTAGTTGAGGGATCCTACAGATTCAAATGCGATATAGTGAACTCCAAAAAGAGACAGACATGTTTATGGAATTTCATAGCATTAATTTTTCATTTCATTCATCACCATAAAAAAAGACCAGAAAATGGCTTACACACCCCATGAGATTAAAATAACCAAGAATCAAGACGAATAAATGTTTTATTTCTATTTTCACTTTGAATGGACACAATTGGCCCTGCATTATGACTAGATAAAATTTTTTAGATTGAGCAAGATGTTATATTATTTATTGAGCAAGATGTTATATTTAGATGTTATATTAGGATCCAGAAATTTAGAGTAAGTCCTCTCAAAATATAAAATGTGTTGTATTAGATTATTGCAAAGTTACTTTGCATGTTATCTTAGGTCATTAAAATTCTTAAAGAAATGTGAAGACTATGGTTATTTAGATAAAATTAAATATGCAATTTTCTTATGAGTTAAAATGTCAAAGAAATCTTAGGTGTACATGTAAAAATGCTACGGATTATTACTATTTTTAATCAGAATACGTCAGTTAAAAAACTTAAATGGTATTTAATATTGCTATATCTTGCCATTGGTCTAGGAATAGAAAAAAATCCTGACATAATTAAAATTTCTAGTTATAGTCTTCCTATAAAAATTACATAAAATATATAGCAGTTAATAGCAAAAAATAAAAATCAAGAAATTAAAACATACTACCAGGAAAAAAGTCACTTTTACCCAAAGAAAGACAGGAAGGAAAGAAAGAGGGAAAGGAAGGAGGAGAAGACAAACAAAACCACCAGAAAAAAAAAATGGTAGTAGCCAGTCCTTATCTATCAATACAAAAAACAATTGTAAAGAATGATACTATACAAGCTATGAATCTCATGTCGCACTAAATACAAAGACATATGATCGAACGGTGGAGAAGAAAAACTGACGGTTGACAGAAAACCTTCATATAGAACCAAAGTTTATGTTAGCATTAAAGAGAAATCCCCTAAATTGTATTTGAAAACAGGCTCATGATTGCTGAAATGGAGAAAAACAAAAATTTTGATGAAATAAATTTATTATAACATTTTGATAGACTGAAAACCCTTAATTATTGTGAACAAATGAATCTTTATATACAGAAAAGCAATTTAGTCATAAATTTTATTGAATCTTTAAGAAAACTACATATTGTAATCTTAAAAGAATACATATTGTAATAGTTATCTTTACATAGTGTAATAGTAATCTTGTACAGTTATCTGTAAGATTTGGAACTTAAATATTTGTGGTCTTAATTTCCATTGATACTACTTTATTTATTTATTTTTTTTTAAGATTCAGGAGGTACAAGTTCAGGGGGTATATTATGTAATGCTGGGGTTTGGGCTTCTAGTGAATCCATCATGCAAATATTGAACATAGCACCTACTACATAGTTTTTCAACCCTCATACCCGTTCCAACTTTTTTTTTTTTTTTTTTTTTTTGGAGTTCCCTGGGTCTTTTGCTTCCATCTTTCTGTTCATGTGTACCCATTGATTAGCTACCACTTATGAGTGAGAACTTGTGGTATTTGATTTCTGTTTCTGAGTTATTTCACTTAGGATAATGTTCTCCAGCTGCATCCTTGTTGGTGTGAAGAACAGGATTTCATTTTTTATGGTTGTGTGGTATTCCTAGATGTATATGTCCTAAATTTTCTTTATCTAATCCACCAGTGTTGGACACTTAGGTTGACTCCATGACTTGGTATTGTGAATAGTGCCACAATAAACTTACCAGTGCAGGTGTCTTTTTGATAAAACAATTTCTTTTTCTTTGGATAGATACTCAGTAGTAGGATTTTTAGTTGAGAAATCTAAGTATTAAATAGAGAGGAAATGAAAGTTTCACCTGAATTTTTATTTTCACTTTTTATTTTTTGAGACAGGATCTCTGTCATCCAGACTGGAGTGCGGTAGCATGACCACTTATGACACTCTAGAACTCCTGGGCTCAAGCAGTCCTCCTACATCAGCCTTCGGAGTAGATGAAACTACAGGCTTGCATCACCACACCAGCTAATTTTTAATTTTTTAGAGACGGGGCCTCCTTATGCTGCCCAGGCTTGTCTGGAGCTCCTGGGCTCAAACAGTTCTCTCATGTTGACCTTCCAAAGTGCTGGAATTACAGGTATGAGCCACTGTGCCAAGCTTTGACCTCATTTTTTAAAGCACAGGAATATAATGCTATTTTCATCATTTTCATTCAGTTAGAACAATTATGGTAAACAACGTCTGAAACTTAGACATTTCTCAAAGACCTAAACCATTTAAAATGATATTTACATTTCATACTTTTTTCTTTTTCCTAATAGTTTCCTTTCCTTTGTAATATTATAGCTGAAAAGAATTCAATTGAATAAAATCAGATTCTTTTATAATCATAAAAGGCATAGTTATGATTTTCTGATTTATAATTAACAATTTACTTTTGGCAGCAATTAAATATTGAAGCTTTATTATGTACCAACTACTTTTATGTGTGCTGTTATATAAATGGGTTAAAGATGGTTCTAGTATGTTGACCTTCTGTTTATGGTGGGCTTAAAAGCCCACTGATACCAAACTCAAAATGTCAACAATCCAATTGCTTTAAATATAGCCTCTTTAAACAAAATTTTTAAGCCATTAGAGTCTGCCTGCTTTGCATACTCAGCCAAACTGCACCCAACATCTGCTAGCCATAGATAAAATAATTTATGGGGTTATAATAGACCTAAGCCTGTTATACGTCATTTGGAATACTCTGACCCAAAGACTTCCCATCAAAATATATGAGCTCTCGCTCCAATCTTTCTACCTGTGAGTTCTGCTGCCTATGAGTTCTCCTCGCCTTCTGGATCATGGCCCCAGACTGATGCCTCTTGAAGTTTTTGTGCTATGATAGACTTTCTTCTGCTCCTTCATGTCATCCTGTCAATGTGCTGTTTAAATAAAATTTGTTATGTGTTACTGCTTCCTTGTGGCCGTGTATTTTGCCTTTTGAGGGATCAGCCTCTACATCTCTCAAACACACTACAGGTGCTTGATTAAATATAAACATAAAAATGCAAGTCAATTCATATATTCAAGAGCCTACATGTAAAAATATATGTTAATGTAAATATGAATTATAAGCAAACAATTTGGATGAGAAAAATTAAGAATACTTAGAATATATAAATTAAGTACAGAACAATGATTTTGTCTTTCCCTTGGCTTTTTATTTGCAAACCTGTGGTTAAGGAAGAGGTGATACACAGGGTAGAAAATAAATTGTACAAACTAATTCAAGTGAATGTATTTAATACCAAATCAATGTAGCCCTACTATAGCAACAAAGTACTTATTTTGGGTGTTGAACTGTCTTTGATGTGGCTGAAATCCAATCACAATATTAAAAGAAAATACACTAGGCTAGGCATAGGATTAAGCACATAAACAAGTAGAAAATCATTGTAAATGATGGCTTCAGTTCAACACAAATACAATTAAATAAACCAAAACTTCTAGGACTAGCAAAGGGGAAAGAATTCTCAAAGATACTCTTTTCTCTGGCTTTCCATATTGAAAATAATTTCTCATTTTGACAATATAACCTGATAAAAACCTTCCATCTGTGATGGTTAATACTGAGTGTCAACTTGATTGGATTGAAGGATGCAGTATTGATCCTGGGTGTGTCTGTGAGAGTGTTGCCAAAGGAGATTAACATCTGAGTCAGGGGATGGGGAAGGAGACCCCCCTTAATCAGGTAGGCAAGACCTAATCAGCCGCCAGCAAATATAAAGCAGGGGAAAAAACGTGAAGCAAAGAGATGGGCCTAGCTTCCTAGCCTACATCTTTCTCCTTTGCTGGATGCTTCCTGCCCTTGAACATCAGACTCGAAGTTCTTCAGCTGTGGGAATCGGACTGGCTCTCCTTGCTCCTCAGCTTGCAGACAACCTATTGTGCGACCTTGTGATCATGTAAGTTAATAGTTAATAAACTCCCCCTTTTTATATACATATTATTTAATAAACTCCCATATATATGTATATATATACGCACACATATATATACTTGTGTGTGTATACTTATACGTGTGTATACATATATATTATATATATATATATATCTCCTATCAGTTCTGTCCCTCTAAGAGAACCCTGACTAATATACCATCTATATAAAGATGTTTACTTTTTCACTGAAGTCATTTTGTGTTTACTTTTTTACTCAAATGAGAAATCAAGTGAACATTTGAACATTTTCTGGGCAACAAAAATGTAAAGAATGAAGAAACTATTCACCACAGTTGCCACATATTTAACAGGAATTTTGAGGTGAGAAAATAAAGCAATTCAAACTGATAGATGTAACCAGCATGAGGAACATGGTCTGATTCAGTAAAATATTGCTTAGCATTTTTAACAAATGTATGCATGTATAAAGTATATGAACATTCTAATGTTGATGTTTAAAACATTTGGCAGCAGTGAGAAGATACGTGTTCATTACAGAGCTCTGCTGCCAGACTCTACAAGCAGCAACTATATCCCTCCTCACCTCACCTAGGTTTTAAATTATTTTCCTCTATATAACAGTGAAAAAAAATTACAAAATAAGAAAGTTTATCTTGAATTCTCCAAGCCTGTCTGATTCCTTTCTCCGTTTCTTGCTTACTTCTTTTTTCTCCATTACCTTCACTTCTTTTCCTTTTCTTTTTTCTATCCACGCATTCTTTTGTTCATCTAGGAAATATTTATTCAGTATCTAACACACAGGAAAGATTTGACGGTGGGCTTTCATGTAAAACTACATCTAGTCCTAAGACTTTGGTAGAGTATTAGAAGAAATTCAGATAACATAGAACTGTAACTCTGAAATACTTCTCACCACCAACTCTTTGAGATTCATTTATATCCTTACTTATACATGGATATTTCTAAACTAATTTGATTATTTAGCTAGCATTATATAAGTGGCACATTTTTATTACGTTATAGATATTTGTAATATGTCACAGACTAAAAATAAAATAACGTAGAATGACTAAAAATTTTTAAGTACATTTTCTTTTAACTGTAGTGGTTATCTATGGAATCTGCATGAAAGATGAGGATTTAGCTGACTTATACTGCCTCCACTTTTTCTCTTCCCTTTCCTTAAAATGTGCAGTAATGCAGTTTTATATCTTCCATTATATGCCTTTAAATACTGTACTTGAAACTTATTTACCTCTTTTCTACATTTTTCCTCACTCCCTTGTCATAACTAGCTAACCTGTGTTTTGGCTATAGGTTGATTCAAAAGGTTGAAAAGCAATAAGGACATAATTATTGATAAATAAGTAATGTGTGATTATTATATAATTATAAATATTTATACTTTTAAAAAGTATATATTTTTATATTTTTTAAAAAACACTTTGTTTTCATTGCTGACAAAAAATGTGTTAGTATTGCAGTTTCTTCCCCATGAGTCCAAAATAGTGCACTACTTTAAGTATAGGATCCACATCTTCATTCTCAAATGAATTACCTTAAACTCTATCAACTACTCAAGAACATTTGTCTGAATATGTTTGAAAGAGTGATATAGGTGAAACCTGATAGAAATAATTTGAAAAGAGAATTGTAAGTGGATGAGTCATGCTGGAAAATGGGTCAGCAAATAGAACATCAATGCGATTTCACAATGAATTAGAGTAGTATTTGACTGCAGAACACATATCAAAACAAAATGTGATTATGAGAAAAAAACTATTTAACTTATAGTGGTTAAACACACTGTACTATTAAACAACTTCAATGGAATTAAGATTTGACATCTTCTTGTTCAATTTTTCCAATAACACTTAGAGTGACTTATATCGGCAGGAATCATTCATTTTTTTCTGATGATAGCTCTTTAACAAAGTAAGAGAAAAATCAAACTTCAAGTGCTCTAAGTTTCTTCATCACGGAAAAAATAGATTATAGCATAAAGTTAGCATTTACATATACAGCATACATATATAAAATATAAACTGGATTTGTAGTTTTATTAAATACATAAGTAACAGTTAAATAAAGGTATTTTAGTCATAAGATAATAATTCAGCGAGGCTTGGTGGTGAGTGCTTACACTCTTAGCTACTCAAGAGGCTGACATGGGAGGATCACTTGAGCCCAGGAGTTTGAGTCCAGCTGGGGCAATGTAGCAAGACCCCATCTTTTTCCAAAAAAAAAAAAAAATCCTGCTATGTTTAATAGGATTTGCTTAAAAAATTGCACTGAAAATCTTATTCACTCTTGTTTGATTTGATAAGCTTCAGCCTTTCTACAAATTCAGTCATTTTAAATAAAATTTATCAGGCTCCTTTACCTTTCTGACTATATATATATAGCCTACAGTTACCTTAAATTTATTTCTTTATTCCTTCCCCTTTTTCTATATTCACTTTCTGCATGATTATTGAGTATGACTATGTAATGATAACTCTAGTATCTAACGGGAATAATGAATAAAAAGAGATATATTTTCTGTCAGATTTTCTTAGTCCATTTAAATTGTTATAACAAAATACCATAAACAGTGTAGCTTGTAGAAAACAGGTATTTTTTTTTCTCACAGTTCTGGAGTCTGGAATTCCAAGATAAAGATGCCAACAGATTCAATGTCCAGGAATGATCCAGTTACTGTTTCATGGACAGCAGTCTTTTCACTGCGTCTTCAGATGGGGAAAGAGGTGATGAGTCTCTCTTGGGCATCTTTTATGAGAACACTAATTCAAGTTTTGAAGGTGTACCCCAGTGACCTAATCACCTCCCAAGGGCCCCACCTCCTAGGACCATCACATTAGCGGTGAGGATTCTATCAGATACGTTTCAGAGGTATAAAGAAACATTCAGACCATAGCGCCAACACACACAAATATTCAGACCATAGCACCAACATATACAAATATATACAAACTCACATTTTCATGAAGCTTATATTTTAACCTAGTGCTTTTCAAACTGTCATGTACATAAGAATTTACTGGGGATTTTGCTAAAATGCAGATTCTGAAGTTGGGTTCTGAGATTTACAAGCTTCTAGGCGATTCTAATGCTACTGGTCCGAGAGTCATATAGTGGGTAGCAAAGTTCTAGTCCATGTGGGTGGTACAATGGTATAACGTATTAAAACGGAGAGTCCTTACTAAAAGCTAAAGAACCAAGACAAGCAAAGCCAAAAGTTTTCAGTGATGCTGAAACCCCAATGTCATGAATAGAGTCTGAATGTGTGTGTTTATTTGTGTGTGGTCAGAGTCCAGGAAGGTAGTTGAGTGACAGTGGGGGCTAGCTATGTTATGTGATAGTATAACATAGTATGTGATAGTATCTGCGATAGTATGTGTGTAAGTGCAAGGATGAGTTGGAAGTGGTTGCCTGAAACAATGATTAACATGTATAGTTTTCTTTTTATTGGCTAACAGTGCTTGTGTATCAGGACCGGGTGACTCAGTCTCTCAGTCTAAGAAGTCAGTATAGTAGATAAACTGATTATCATCTTTTATATACATATGCATTGGGTTGTAGTGGCAGGCATTTTATTCTTGTATTCTCAAAAATGCAACTCCTAAGTATATGAATATTCTCCCATTTGAATAGACTTATTGTAATATATAAGAAAATTAAATATACCCCAATATCGTATTGTTTATATTGTAGATTCGTTCCGTGTCCACTGAGTATATGTGTCCCACTGTTGTTGGCTAGAGGGTACTATAAATGTCAATTAGGTCGAGTTGGTTAATAGTGTTGGTTCAGGTCTTCTCTATACTTACTGGTTTCTGTCTAATTTTTCTAGCATTTACTAAATGTAAAGTGATGAAAGCTATGAAAATAATTGTCAATTTTTCTATCTCTTCTTTTGGTTCTATGGGGTTTTGCTTTGTGTTTTGAAGCTTTTCCTAGGTATGTATACGTTTTAGATTTTTGTACCTTCTTAAATAGTGAACAAAATTATCAGATATCCATTTTTATTTCTCACATTTATTTCACTAAAATCTATTTTGTGTGATATTAACAAGGCCACTCAAACACTAATATGATTCGTGATTTGTGGTATGTATTTTTGTCCTTTTATTTCTATTTTGTTTTTGCCTTTATATTTAAAGTTTAATATTTTTTAAGACAGAGCCTCACTCTGTTGCCACACTGGAGTGCAGTGGCACAATCTTGGCTCCCTGAAGCCTTGACCTCCCAGCTTAAGCTATCCTCTCACCTTAGCTTCCCCAGTAGCTGGGACTACAGGTGCGTATCACCAAACCTAGCTCATTAAAAAGAAATTTGTAGAGACAAGGTCTCACTATATTGCCCAGGCTGGTCTTAAACTGCTAGGATCAAGGGATCCCCCCACTTTGGCCTCCCAAAGTGCTATTACAGGTGTGAGCCACTGTGCCTGGCTGTAAAGTGTTATTTTTAACAGGATATAGTGTTCCATGCTTTACTTTTAAACCCAGTCTGACAATCTCTTCCTGTTAATTAGAATTGGAAAGTTTATGTGCAGTGTACATATAATATTTCAATGTTATAATCTCTATTAGGTATAAATATACTATCTTGCTCTTAATATCCAAATTTTCCCATCTGTTGTTTGTTTCTTCTTTCTGTTCTTTGGAATAACTGATTTTATTGTATTTCTATTTTATCCAAAGTTGACCTATTGGAAACACATATTTAATTGACTCTTAAGGTATAACATGTACATATTTAACCCATTAAAATTACCTTCATACTATTTCATATAATGTGAAAACTCTACAATTCCATTTCTTCCTGTCTTATTTTTCATTTTACTTCTGCATATGATGAAGTCCAAGATAATTTTGCTTTAAACAGTCAAATGTCTCATAACAGAATAAAAATAGAAAAATAACTAGTTATATTTATTGCTATTCAATGACATTTTTCTTTGTATATATCCAAGTCTTCTACTATCCTATATCTTCTTCTGTAAGAAGATTGTAGCATTTTTTAGTCAAAACCTGCCGAGAACAAATTTTGTCTTTGTTTATTTTGAAGTCTTTATTTTACCTTTATTTCTGAAAAATAAATTTCACTGAGTATAGAAATCTAGGTTGACAGGTTACATTTTTTTCAGCACTTGAATATACTCTTCTGTTGTCTTCTGGCTTGGTTTCTAGAAAATGTCTGCAGTTATATTTGTTTCTCTGTGCCTAGTATGATATTGTTTCTCTCCTGCTTTTTAAGATTTTCTATCATCGGTTTTCACGAATTTGATGTCAATGGGTCTTGATGTGGTTTTGTTTGTTCTTTTAGGGCGTTTTGAGTGTCTTGGATCACTGGGTTTCCAGTTTTATCATTTGGACATTTCCTGGTCATTATTTCTTTTTGTTGTTGTTTTCTCTCACGTGTTTTCTACTGGAACTTCAAATACATGTTTTTGGACTGCTTGTTACTGTAACAGAGTACTGAGAATATATTAATTATTTTTTATATTTTTTCCTAACTTGGCTTCATTTTGAATTGTTCCAATTGCTATATATTCAACTCTATTAATCAACTCTTCTCTATTGCCTAATCGGCTGCTAATTGCCTCTAGGAATTTATTTTTCACTTCAGATATATTATTCATGTTTATATTTATATGTGGTTCTTTAATATATCCTCATTTTTTTCTGTGCCCATTTTTTCTTTAAATCTTGAACATAGTTATAATACCTGTTCAGATTCCTTGTCTACTATTTTTTATCTTTTCTGTCACATTTAGGTTTATCTTTCCTGAGTGACTGTTTGGGGGCATGCTTTGGGTTATATCTTCCTGTTTTTTGGTATGTGCCAGGGATAGGTTTTACTGAGAGTGTTTTTTACTTCTGTGAGAGTTTAGCCCCTACTACCAATGTGTGGCCCTTCTAGAGCAT
The DNA here is from genome assembly GCF_000001405.40 of Homo sapiens. Taxonomy (NCBI): domain Eukaryota; kingdom Metazoa; phylum Chordata; class Mammalia; order Primates; family Hominidae; genus Homo; species Homo sapiens. The sequence continues at coordinate 70,413,305 of NC_000013.11, forward strand.
CTAGAGCATCCCAAGTGCTCAACAAGGACATACTACTCTACCTGATGTGTTCTGGAACTGTTTAGCCCATAACTCTTCAGTCACACTTTCATTAGCCTATGGGGGGTTATATCCTATATGTAAACATCTTTTTTTTTTTTTTTTTTGGAGGGGGTCTCACTCTGTTACCCAGGCTGGAGTGCAGTGGTGCAATTTCGGCTCACTGCAAGCTCCACCTCCCAGGTTCACGCCATTCTCCTGCCTCAGCCTCCCAAGTAGCTGGGACTACAGGTGCCCGCCACCATGCCTGGCTAATTTTTTGTATTTCTTTTTTAGTAGAGACAGGGTTACACCGTGTTAGCCAGGATGGTCTGGATCTCCTGACCTCTTGATCCGCCCGCCTAGGCCTCCCAAAGTACTGGGATTACAGGCGTGAGACACCGTGCCTGGCCCACATCTTATTTTTAAACAAAGATTCAAATCCCCTCATGCAGATTTCTGGAGCTCTTTTGGGACATGTTTCCTTATATCAAGAACTCTTCCACACAACTTCCATCTACTTAGACTTTTTGAACACCAGTCTCTGTGTCCCCAACTCACCAAGTCGACCAAGCTCCCTTGAGGTACCCATCTATGCTTCCTGGCAGAAATCAGAGAACTCATAAGCCTTTGTTTCCCTTTTCTCAGGGTTCATGATGTTGTGCTCCTATTCCTCAATGATTGAAAATTTTTTCATATGTTTTGTCCAGTTTTCTAGGTTAAGGTGAAAGGTTTCATCTATTCCCTGTTACTACATCATTGCAGGAACAAAAGTCCTGCTTTGAGAAAATAAAAGTATTCTTTCAACGTTTGTTAGGTAATTATGATGTATTTCCAGAGTTAAGGATCACTCTATAAATTAGGTTACACTTTCTTTCAAAATAGCAAGACTTTCTATTATTTTAAAATATGACCTAGAGACACATTAATTTTCTTGCTATCCCTTCACATTCTATCAGATTTCACATTCCCTCAAGAGATAGATTTGGAAATTTGAGTTTTTCAGAGCTGTTAAAAAAATGAAAGGTTAACACCACATGTTCTCACTCATAGGTAGGAATTGAACAATGAGAACACTTGGACACACGGTGGGGAACATCACACACCAGGCCTGTCCTGGGGTGGGGGGATGGGGGAGGGATAGCATTAGGAGATATACCTAATGTAAATGACGGGTTAACGGGTGTAGCACACCAACACGACACATGTATACATATGTAATAAACCTGCACCTTGTGTACATGTACCATAGAACTTAAAGTATAATAATAAAAAAAGAAATGAAAGATTAAACTGCTTATTTTCTTGCTTCTAAAAGCAGTCATTATATCAGCAACACTAGCATTAACTGCCAATTAATTCAATTAATTGTAGCATATTAAAGCAGCACATTAAAAATCCAGAATTTCATACCCTATCCCAGATCTACAGAGTGTGAATATTCCCAAGAACCTTGCATGATACATGAGAACTTTATATTCTAAGAAACTCTGTATAATATGCACACTAAAAATCTAACAGAAACCAAATGAAGTTGATAGGTGAGGAATAAAAATGACTAACAAGAGTTTTAAAATACCTTATAAGGGTATGTTAATGTTTTCAGTTGTGTTGAATATACATATATACACACACACACACACACTATATCTATATGTGTATATACACATACACACACACACACTATTGCTGCTATACACTTCCATGTTATCTTATAGAAAATTTCCCCCTAAAGTGGTAAAGTGGTAATCAAAATAAGTATCACATTGTGGAAAGACAATTCTAGCTCTTGCATTTTATTTTTGAGCCAGTTTCAGTGTATAGGTCAACAGCAACATACTGTCTTTTTCTAATATTAGTTTATTCTGTCATTTAATTCCATTTAGTGTCAGCTTGTATTAGAATTGTTAGAGTACACACACACCAGTTCAAGGAAAGAATGATCATTGTTGGGAAATAATTGACAGAGTAATAAACCTTGTACTACTCTACACTGCAGGAAGTGAAGGCATGCCAATAGTTGTCATGTTTCCTGCAGCCCTTCTGAAGTTTTTATGGGATGATGTAAATGAATAGATGGCTTGTCACACTTATTGAGAGAAAGGTAAAATATTTGTTAAAGATAAATGTAAATGCCTTATTTATTTTTAAGGTAAATTTAGCAGTTTATTCTACTTATTCATTCAAATCAATAAATTAAATAAAAATAAATGTCTTAAATATGGCCTAGGAACAAGGAAATGGGTTGGGGGCTGCATGTAAAAATACAATTTGACATGAGAACATGAGGTATAAACATGAGAAAGTCCAAGGTAAGGCAAAGTAAAATCAACGTTGTTAAAGAAGCCCAGTAGGCCGGGCGGGGCGGCTCATGCTTGTAATCCCAACACTGGGAGGCTGAAGTGGGCAAATCACTTGAGCCCAGGAGTTTCAGACCAGCTTGGGCAACATAAGGAAATCTCATTTGTACAAAAAATACAAAAAAAAAAAAAAAAGCTGGGCGTGGTCGTCAGTGCCTGTAGTGCTAGCTACTCCAGAGGCTGAGATGGGAGGATCACCCAAGCACAGGGAGGTTTAGGCTGCGGTAAGCCATGATCACGCCACTGCACTCCAGCCTGGGTGAAGAGACAGACCCTATCTAAAGAAAACAAAAACAAAAAGAGACTCAGTGGATGTTAAAAAAAAAAAAAAAAAAAAAAAAAAAAAGGGGGGGCATCATGTAGTTTTGAAATCCAAAGGAAATTTATAAAGAAAAGATAGAATGGGGCCAGGGGCTAATAATACCAGGAGGCTGGAATTTCTGTTAGAGAGTAACACATTAGGAAATTCCTGCTAGCAGGAAGCTACACGACATGCTTATATGGATGATTATATAGGAAATCAGAGGGCAGAAAAGTTTAAAATGATACTTTAGGTGGGGCCAAAGAGAAGGGAGAATTTGCATGCAATGTGGTTAGAAAGATTTTGGCCAAGTGAGTGGCAAAAGTAGTGATGTGTTTTAAAAACTATAGCATTCAGGACAATTTGGAAAAAATGTGGAATTATCTACAATGATTTTGCAATAAGCATGGCAAGAGAATAATCAGAATGGGAAGGAGGCATTATTTATGAGAGAAGTAGTTGAGGTAGATTCTACACCAATTTGAAAACAATTAGATAAAGAAATTCAAATTGTGAAAGACCATGCAAAGCAATTTAGCTGGTTTTTCTTAAGGGATAGTTCTTTTGTAGGTATAGCAAAGAAAAAGAACTGATTGTGTTGGAAAGGAGATTTGGGACATATATAATCGACAACGTTAGTGGAAAATCTGGAGAAAAATATAGAGCAAGCAGATGAAACACATCTTTAGATTTAGCAGTAAAAATTCAAAACATCAGTTTAATTTGGCTTCCATTAATTTTGTAATATGTATTGGATATATGTAGCTAGATATAGTTATAGACACAGAATTGTCTATAACAGTAATAGTTAAAGGCACAGAATTGCATGAAACCAAAGAAAATTATTTGAGATAGAGGGGAAAAAAACGCAGAAGTATGGAACACAGTTTTAGGGAGAGAGAGATGTAAAGAATAGAAGACAGTGAAGAAAACACAAAAGCACAGTTCAGAACAGAAAAAAAGTCAGATAATTGAAACCAAATAAAGAAAGGAAAAATGAAATATTTATCAATAGTTGCAAATACTTCAAAGAGTTAAAGGAAAATTAGATAACAGAGTTCAATGAGTTTAGTAGAACCCAAGATAATCTCTCCATTTAAAGGTTAGCAAATCTAATTAGTAACCTTATTTCCATGTGCAAAATCTCTTCAAATTAGTACCTAGATTTATGCTTGATTGCAAAACCCAGGTTATGAGAATATTGGAGGGTCTTCCTTGGAATTCTTCCTATTATACCTGGAAACTTCTTTCAGGTCTACATATCTTTTTCTGCATGTCTTATGTTTCATATTCAGTGTCTAGTGTTGGATAATCAATTTCTTGTTTTAGATAGTTCATTCTCAGTGTCTAAGTGCATATTTCTCCACAAGGTATTTCTAAGTAATATTTAATACTGAAATGCTTAGGAAGGTAGCTTCTTCCAATAAGCTTTGTGTTTTGTGTGAGCCTCACAATGACTCTCACACTATAAGATGTTAAAAGACACAGCCTTGATTTTCTCTCCAAAACTGTGCATGGTGGGGTGGTGTATCTTTTCTCAGAGAGTTACATATTCTTCCATACTAGCTAAAGAGAGTTGCAGCAGACATACCAATGACTGAAGTCTGGTCTAAAAACAAAACAAATTCAATAAAACACTCATATTGAACCACCTTGGATACTAACATGCTACATTATACATTTATATTTCCAAATGTTTTCCTGAAATCTCACTATAGTAGGACAGTGAGTGTTTGTTTAATTGGGTAGATTTCATACTAAAGCAAACTTATTTTAGATTAGGGTCATGAGAGAATGGCATTGGGAATACAAGTTAAGGGGGATGCCTTAGTAATGTAAAAATATCCAGATTCTCAGAAAGCTCAGCACCGAGGAAATAGAGTTTACTCATGGAATAAGTGTAGCAAAGGATACTCTATCCATGGCAAATTACAGCCTCCTCATTGTTCGTAGCTCTTACCTCATATCTAAATTACAGTTGCTCTGTATTGTATTCCTTTCATCCACATTTTTGTCTCTGCATTTTAATTTTGCTAAAAACCAATTATAAATAACACAAGCAACACATACCAAAGTTGCCATGATATACTTTTTAACTAACATACACTTTTACCTTTCACAGTGAGGATAGAAAAGCTAGGATCATATGGCCAGGTGCAGTGGCTCATTCCTGTATTCCCAGCACTTTGGGAGGCTGAGATGGGCAGATCATTTGAGGTCAGGAGTTTGAGACCAGCCCGACCAACACGGTGAATCCCTGTCTCTACTAAAAATACACAAATTAGCTGGGTGTGGTGGTGCATGGCTGTAATCCCAGCTACTTGGGAGGCTGAGGCAAAAATTGCTTGAACCTGGGAGGCAGAGGTTGCAGTGAGCTGAGATTCTGCCACTGCACTCCAGCCTGGGTGACAGAGGAAGACTCCATCCCCAAAAGAAAAAAAGTTAGGATTATAGAACATTCTTAATCCACAGTGTATCTCCATAATGGAATTGAGGTCACAGACTATGAAAAAAGTAGAAAAATATTGATTAAAAATTCAGATATTTCATCTAAAATCTGTAGGCGGGAACTGAAAAAAGAAATGAAGGTATGCTTACATGGGAAGTATTTTAACACAACAGGTAATTTTTGAGTGCTCATTATGTCCAAACACTGATGAGCACTTAGATCAAAGATATTATTCTTGTCAACAAGAAACTTACTTAGGGTCTAGCTGTTGAAAAGATAACAGGAAATTTAGAGTCTAGCTGTTGAAAAAGGAAAATAAGATAATTCATGAATAATTAATGAGGGGAAAAATAAGAAAACTGTCCAATAATAATAAAATTCTTTGGGAATCACAAGGAGGAAAAATGATTCCAGGATAATTGGAAATGATTCTTCTAAAAATATATCTTTGAAGGCTCATGCTGTATTATCAGCATCCTTTCTAACAGCCTTGCTTCTGCAAGTCATTTTGAAACAATACAAATTAGATAGGTGCAGCTTGCATTAATATCAAAAGGAATATCACATAAATCCATTCAGGATGAAGAGATTTCCAGAGAAGTAAAAGGAAGTTTTGAAATAGTGCGTAACAAAGACATTTAAATGAAGAACCATTTTTATTTCATTTGTCCTGATATAAAGATATTTTTCAATTTAAATTATTGGTCTGTTTTGAGGATTAAAGTATGAAGTGATGTTCAGAGAATATCGTTAAAATGCATTCTTCTTTGTTGTTAAAATTGTACAGCCTTTAAAATTCAATGTAAATTAGCAAATTTTAAACAGTATTAATTACATATTAAGTAAAATAGCTATGATATAACTTTGGCATACTACTTCATAAAACTGGATCTCTTGATAATTGATTGATGTAATTTTGTTCTTCATATATTTATGACTTATAGCAAGCCTACTTTAAAAGTTATCAGATGCAACTGATTGATGTAATTAGACCATGAAAATGAATGAAATATTCTGACATAATAGGCAGTAACTCATTTAAATGATATGCCTAATTTGTTAGCTTCCAGAGTCAGATCAATTTTGGATAAGTAATTTATATTACTGAATTATATTCCAATTTATGAGAACAAAAATTAAGCACTATACAGCCTGTTGAGAGCCTGCCAAAGAATCATGGATTTTAGTACTGAAAAGGTTAAGTGCATAAATGTGAAATGACCTAAACCAATATTCCAAGAATTTTTTAATGCAATAACAATAAATTATATATTTCAAAGCAGTGACAATTGCTAATTTATAAACTAGTAAACCTTACTAGCTGGCCTAGGTATTGCCAAGTAGAGCCTTCTAATGAAGAAAGTCTTTGTAAGCCAATAATATAGTTGGAATTTACTATTAAGAGCGTATTCTAATAGAATTTAAACCAAGAATTTGAAATGTTGTTTTCATTGGTAATGGATGGGGTATTGGTGCATAGCTAAAATAGAAACATCTATTAATAACTACTTAAATACTAATTGAGGCCTAATGATGTGTATGTATGATATTTATACAAAAGTATTTCAAGGGAGAATGATGTCATTTAGTTAAGACACTATCTCAAGATGCACAGAGTGAAGAAAATATTTCTCTCAGTCTTCAAGAGAAAAGCTTGATTCTAATTGAATATCCAATACCTTCCTTAGTTGGAATAAAAGCATTATGCAGCTTGCAAAACAAACTAGCAATTGCTGATAGCTCCAAACTAGAGCTCACTAGAGAGTCTGACAGCAAAGCAAGTTATAGCCTCTCTTGAGTCCATTGGCAAGAACTGCTGATCACACATCTTACCTCTCAATCACATGTACATAGCAGTGAAGAGCCGACTGTCATCTTTTGTTTGGAACAATGCATATTTTAAATGTGTAAATGTGCTACTGTTTGAGGTGCCTACATTTATAATTTCTGCATATACTTCTGTTTATATTTAAAAAAATAATCCTTTTAAGCACAGAAATGTGAAATATTAATAGGCTATTTCTTTCCTTTTTAACAGTACTTTGGCTTTTGGACAACTTTGTAAAATATTATTTAACAATCTCACATTTTACATTCCAAAAGAGATAAAAATGCATTTAAATTTAAACACTGATTATTATTTACATATAGTTTTATAGATATTGTGTATGTTCATTGTACATATGTAATAGACATTAAGACTGAATGACAAAGCATTTAAATATTGAAATACTTCTTAAAACCTATTAACATTTTAGTTAAAAGCTTGTTCTACCATGTGATAATCATGTTCATGTATTTTTGTGGTACCAAGTATGTGTCCATATCCATGTGTAAGATTTTCTCAGACTTTCCAGAATCAATTTAATTGAATTATTCGTTTCATATCCCTAGTCTCATTCCTTTTTGGGGACAAGATTTTAATCCTTTATAATATGCATTGCTTTTTCAAACATCAAACACTTCCACACATGGGCAGAAAATAGCCCACCTTACAACAGAAACATTTGTCTACAACAAAAACATTTGTCTACCCAAGGGCAATATACTACTGAATCACTAGGACTAAGTCTGGAATACCTCCTTTCTAAGAAAGTTGCACTTTTGAGCATTTTATTTGGCATATATTTTTTCTGAAACAAGATATTGGAAATTTCAAAGGACCCACAGCAAATCCACACAAAATGTTTTGAGGTAGGTATGTGAGAATGTCGAACTCCTTTAAAAGTAATTTATTTTGCTTTGTTTTGTTTTTAGATTGGACAAGTAGGGTAGTAGGGAGGCAGAGTGAGAGTGACGTTTAAAAACAACCAACAAGCAATAGTTGCTGTTTATCCTTAAAGGTATCATTAAAATTGTATTTTAGCTGTCAGACTTGGTAATATGGGAAATATTTCTAGAATTTGGTGATCTGCTCCAAGTGCCAAGATGTTTCTTGACTCTAGTTGGTCTTTAGAGACATTTTGATTTATCTTTGCCACATTTTTAGAGGGTCTTACAGACAGAATTTGCAAAGTATGAATGGTTCCACACAAGAAGGGACCAAAGGTATTTGAATGAAATAAATTGAATAAAATAGGATGTTGGTTTTATAATAGGAGAAGTATATTTCACTGAACAATATCAAAGAAGTTTATGCCAATAGCAAAGTGAATTTTAAGTTCCTTTGATTTAAATTCATTTATCTGTAAGTCATCATTTAAATACTTGTTAAACGCTTATATTTTCATACCTATAGATGCCTATCCACCTCCACTGAAGATGAAATACCTACTACTTCATTTATTTCAAATATTGTCCTAAGCCATTGTAATAGTCTGGTTTATAATTACTAAATTTGATGTCTTAAATGGCAAAAGTTGCCATTTCATAGTAAAATTCAAAATGGAAATACATTTATAAAAAACTATAATTATTTATCAGGAGTATCAGCTGCAGTAGCAAGATTATACTGAAAACAATTTCTAATTTTATACAGTAGCAGGTCACCAGATACAGAGCTGCAAAATGTGTATTTATAGATACCATGATCTATCAACCACTGAAATGACCTTGAAAACCCAAAACATCAAACCATGCAAGCACTATTGGATTTCTGTCAAGAGCATAAAATATTTAAAGAAAAATAATAGAAGATCATGGGCACTTTCAGTGTAGTAGGTAAGAACATTTTGGCAGATCTTAGATATATAACACTACAGTTCTATTTGTGTGAGCATAAACTGGTCAAATTGTTCTATAGCAAGTAACATAACCATTTTATAGGACATTTAAATAGGTATATTCAACAAGGACACATTTTCCCCAAGGAAAGTTGTAAGAAAATATTTCAAGGCAAAGAATAAAAGCTACTTAGTCTGTCAAACGCATTCTTTTTCCTGTATTTCATGTATTATTGTGCCATGTAATGATAATTTTGGAAATTATCTAAAAAAGTATTTTCTTGGGGAACGTTACCTAATCATTTTATAGATGTATTTAGCATCTTTAAAAGAACAGGGTTTATTTATTACAATGATGAATAGGTTTAATTTTAAATAAAATTTACTTTTTATTGAGATAGGGTCATATTGTGTCACCCAGCCTGGAGTACAGTGGCAGGATCACTGCTCACTGAAGCCTCAAACTCCTGGGCCCCAGTGATCCTCCCACCACAGCCTCCTAAGTAGCTGGGACTATAGGTGCACACCACCAGGCCTGGCTAATTTTTGTAATTTTTTTGTAGAGACAGGGTTGCACCAAGGCTTAGTTTTTAAAATAATCAACATGTGATTACTGCAAAAAATTAATACTAAATTTTGTAGTGTTGATTTAAATATGTTTATTTAAATATGTATAAATTATATAAAAGTGAGATTAATAACATTTATTTAATTTGGGAGGAAACTCGTTTATGGATGAGTGCGAATGCACAAAGGTTTTTCTGTTACAAGAGTGTAAATGAGAAACATGAGAGAGGGAACAGAGAACCCAAGTTGGTAGAGGCTGAAGGAATTTTTTTAATGATTTGTTATTTTATAAAAATTTCTGATGGTGACAGGTCTTTGTGTATTTGAACTCTTTTAGCAGATTACCTGTGTTGCACATTACATTCTGGTTTAATGCTTGTTCAACAATAAAATTGTTTTCTTTATTGCCTTTGTGGAGAGATTTTCAAGGTTGAGAGATTTGCTTTTCAATTATGTCTCCAGCAAAACACATGAACTCTTTTCCTGGAGACATATTGATTCACTTTTTCCTTGAGAATTGAATTATTTTCCTTTTTAAAATAAAAATTTTAAGTTCCACCTTCAGTGATTTTTATTTTGAGCTAAGAGCCTTTTTTTCCCTGAAAATGATGAAGTTAGCTTTCCTAAAGTAAATTAAATTCATAATGCTTTTCTTTTGAAGAAACTTAAACGCCTTGTTCATGCCTGCAACCCTACACTAGGTTTAAGGAAACTTCTCTATCACTAACTCATGTAGATGTTTTAAGTCTAACAGAAACAATAGTGATTTGTATGTCTGTCCATAGATACCACCTCAGGTGAAGGATAGCTTTTTAGGTTTGTAGGAAGTTGATAATTGACTCAAGAAAAAGCATGCCAGCTGGATGAACTTCAGGATGATTGAGATAATTGAATTAGAGGAAATATTTGAAAATGAACTCTTGAGTTTGTTGTAAATCCAAAGACCCTTGAAATGGATAATTCATAGTATTTTTACAGCCATTGATGGTTATTGGCAATTCTTTGATTTTGTAGATTCTCTTTATTTTTTTTTGGATTCTAGTAGGAAAGTGTTTTGAAATTAGGTCATATTTCAACACACACACACACACACACACACACACACACACAACTATATTTGATCCTTGAAATATTAGAGAACAAAACATTGGAATGAGGACTGTTTAGATAATAAACATTTTTATTTAAAATTAAATAACCAATTAACCAATTAGTATGTAGTCAGGTTTAAACATGTGTTAATGGGGGAAATTTTAGAGATTTTATCTTTACAGGAGACAATTAGCTTTGTTTTATTTTACTTTGTTGACTAGAAATTAGTCAGCTAATTAATTATAAATCCTGTGTGTCAAGAAATGATCTCCAGCTACAGTCTGTAATCATTTACAGAAAAGTAAGTCAAATTATAAGCTTTATTGCTAAAGATTTACTAATTTAAACTTCATATTTTAAGTTATAATGAATATATTAGAAACAAGGAATTGTAAACGTTGTTTTATTAGTTCCAAAAAAAATTTTTCCCCAGGGAATTTTAAGTCTAATTGAATTAGAAGTCTTGGGCTGGGTGATTTTAAGGCAGAATTTGAAAGGTAGAGAATGTACTAGTGAAGCCACATTGTTGTCTGGGGTACTACCCAAGGTTCGTTGAGCCACAGTCATGAAAACTGACATGGGCACACCAGAGTAAGGGTAAGAGCGGAAGTTTTGTAGGTGAAAGAAAGAAGAGCTCTGGAAGCAGAGAGTGGTCCCAGAGAAAATGGGTTGCTGCTTCCATGGTGAAACGCAGAAGGTTTTTTAGGTGAGCTTGAGGGGGCAGTATCTGATTCACATAGGGCACGAAAGATTGGTTGAAAAATCTGTGCCATTTGCATAGTGCACAAAGAGGCTGGCTGCCCCGCCCCCTAGTCTTTTATTTTGCAGATAGGTTCTCCACCTGGCCAACATCATGTTGCCTGCCTCTTTATCGCACACACGGTGACAAAGAAAAGGGAAGATGGAGCCTCCATTTTGAACATACCTGGCTTCCAGGAAGCCCTTTTCTATTGGCACAGCTGCTAGCACTCACCCATGCAAGTTTCCAGCTTGCTTATCTATGTTTGCAGCTCGATTTTTCAGGCTGCTCTTTGTTAGAAAAAGAAAATGATTGGGGAGCGGCTTTTTACTAAAAGGGAAGCCTTGCCGAGGACTTATTTACCTTCACTATCTGCCTAAATAATTTCTGTCTAGCTTCTGAATCACTAAGATTGAGCAAAACTAAAGATATAATAGCTCTTAATAAAGAAGGAATATAAGATAAGAGTTTTGAAGCAAATCTTGATGAAGTAGAAGTTTACTAGAATACAGTCCTGTGCCAAATAATGACTTTTCAGTCAGTGATGAACAACACATACAACAGTAGTCTCCTAAAATTACAGTACTGTATTTTTACTGGCCTTTTCAATGCTTAGATATGCAAATACTCTCACTGTGTTAACAATTGCTTACAGTATTCAGTACAGTAGCATGCTCTACAGGTTTGGAGCCTAGGAGCACTAGGTTATACCATCTAGGTTTGTCTAAGTACATTTTGTGATGTTCACACAATGACAGAATTATCTACAAACACATTTCTGAGAACACATTTCTTCCATCATTAAGATATGTGTGATTGTAGTTCTAATGAAGAAACTGTAGTCTTGGTAAGGAAGTGGTTTTAGATGTTTTCTAGATTATCTTACAGTTACAAGTATTTCCTGAAGCAAACAAGTCATTTTTTGCTTGGTTTCACATACATAGGATTTTATGCTTGGTTTCAATTCAAAGAAAATAAGATAATTTAGAAAAAATGTAAGAAATAAGATGTGAGCATTCATATAATCAATTATACTGAATAGCTTTCCCCTCTGTGAAAGAGAATACCTACCAAGAAAAGCATTTCCAATATTGTAGACTATTGGTCCAAATGTTTCCTTTAATGTAGGTGTTGTAAGTATGTAAACAGGAAACATGAAGAAGAGAATTTCATTTAATTGCAATAGAACTACCAGTTATCCAGTAAGAGGGTAATGAAGTAAGAACTTCATTTCAGTTAGACTTTATAAGTTGCAAACAGAGTTCAATGTAATCCTTTTAAACAGAAAAGGGAATCTTGTATTAGTTTGCCTACAAAATTTCTAGAAAGACAAAATAAACAAGGCTGAATGCTACATTGCTAGCAATGAGGCTGGTGCAACAAGCCCATAGGGCAAATTTGTATGAATTAGAAAAAGATTTTCTTCTAAACAAACCACTCTTTGAATACATAGCTTGGTAAGGGTATACAGCATGAAAAATACTATTGCCTGCCAGAAACCTATACAGTAATGCAGCGACGCTGGAACAATATGACCAGGAAACGGTATCCAAATGTAAGTGGGATGGTCCTAATGGAAATACCATTAAATCACCTCCTAGGAAATACCATTAAATCACTTAAAAAAAAAAAAAAAAAAGAGGAAAGTCTCTGCTAGATCTTCCCTAAGAGAACCAAACACTTGTGTTATATGTTTTCATATAGAGCTACCATATCACATTACTAACTTCTGCCTTCCCAAGTCTTATAGAGATATAATATATCTGTTTGCCCTAACTGAGGTCATATGGCAAGTCCTTGCTGTGAAAAAATATAGATGATTTTGTTCCTAGAGTTCAACCACAATAACAGAGGAATGCTAGGGAGAAGGGATTCAGAGAGGGTGCCAAATGAGCCAATCTGCAGAATCTAGCAGCATTTATCCAAAAACCATCCATTGAGAGCCTGCTATCACTCAAACACTGTACCAAGAACATGCTTGAAAAGCCTGAAGTCTAGTCAATTTTTAAAATATTTTCTGGCCAGGTGCAGTGGCTCATGCCTGTAATCCCTGCACTTTTGGAGGCTGAGACAGGCAGATCACTTGAGGTCAGGAGTTCGAGACCAGCCTGGGCAACATTGTGAAAACTCGTCTCTACTAAAAATGTAAAAATTAGCTGGTGATGGTGGCAGGTGCCTGTAATCCCAGCTACTTGGGAGGCTGGGGCAGGAGAATCACTTGAACCCAGGAGGCAGAGGTTGCAGTCAACCAAGATTGCACCACTGCACTCCAGTCTGGGTGACAGAGGGAGACTCCATCTCAAAAAAAAAAAGTTTTAAATAGGAAAGTTTATCTGAGTTATTTACCTCTGTATTTAAGCATCACAAAATAATTATCACAATGCTTGGAGAAATTTTACATGCATCTGCTCTTCTCATGCATAGTTTACTATAGTAATGGTATATATTTTAAGCAAATTATTGGAATATTGCAACTGGCTGATGACTGTATTTATAATAGCATTTAATTTTATTTCCCCTTTTTTCAAAAGTTTCTCTATTTGAAGCAATACCTTACGTCTAAAAGACTCTTCCTCCTATGCATATAAAGAGATAATTAGGTACTCTGAAATTTTTTAATGATATTTAGCAATATAGAAATTATAGGACTGATATGAACCATTGCATACAAGAGTGGTATACACAATGCTCTTCTCAACTTTTCCTTATTCTTACCTTGTACTGCATAACCCCATGGGCACATGCTTAGGCTACTGCTTATTTGCTCTGTAATTTTGCTTATAGTATGTCATATAAGTAACCCTTAAAATCCTGGAGGAAAACTTTGAAATACCTTTAAATTAAAATAGAAATTTTGATATTGCTTTAATTTATGTAAGATTTTACTTATTGTATTCATTTGTTTTCACACTACTATAAAGAACTACCTGAGACTGGGTAATTTATGAGGAAAAACAGGTTTAATTGACTCACAGTTCTGCATGGCTGGGGAGACCTCAGGAAACTTACAATCATGGCAGAAGGCGAAGGGGAAGCAAGGCACATCTTGAGAGAGGCAGAGAGGGAAGTGCCACACTTTTAAACCATCAGATCTCATGAAAACTCACTATCAAGAGAATGTTATGGTAGAAATCACCCCTATGATCCAATCACCTCCCACCAGGTCCCTCCTGGGATTGCATGGGAATTACACATGGAGATTACAATTCGAGATGAGATTTGGATGGGGACATAGAGCCAAACCATATCACCTATCTTAAAATTTTCATATGAATAATCACAAAAGTACTAATAAAAAGTTACGAAATAAGAACTTGGCTTTTTTCCAGTTTTTTTTCTATTTGTAACCAAAATCTTGTTTGAAAGATGTGTATCAGAAATTTGTCATCAATAAAGGACATTTGAAAATTAATATTTTAGTTTTTAAGGTTGTCCATTTCTATAACATTAATATTGTCTGCGTGTAGAAATCAGAATATAAGTTAAATAACCCTCACCCTAAATTAAAAATTCTAAAATGTCATATATTCTTTTTATACATTTTATAGAAATACACTTTAAAGGTATAACTTCAAGTAATTTATGTTTTAATTTTTAAAAATTTGCGTGCTGTTTTTTATGTTCTCATTCAGTCCTTAAATGTGTACAAACTATACAGGGCTAAGAAAAACATTTAATATTTTCACAAAGCTTTTATAGAAAAATATTGATCCCAGATACATCAATCATTGGGTGTCAAATTGTCCAGTATTTTCAGTTTCTTCATGCTACTGTTGTATTTTTGCTTCTTTGACATCTAGCTCAAAGTAATATATGTTCCATTTTGAAATAATTATTAAAATGTGTCCTAGAAGGCCTTTGTAAAACACATTCTTTTTAAATATGATTCCAGCTATCAAGCGCCATAATTATGTGAACGTGTTCCGAACAAACTAAAGAATAACATAAAAATATGATTATTAGGGTATGGTGGCTAATGCCTGTAATCCAAGCACTTTGTGAGGTCGAGGTAGGCAGATCACCTTAGGTCAGGAGTTCAAGACCAGCCTGGCCAACGTGATAAAACTCCGTCTCTACTAAAAATACAAAAATTAGCTGGGCGCGTGTAATCCCAGCTACTCGGGAGGCTGAGGTGGGAGGATCACTTAAACCCGGGAGGTGGAGGTTGCAGTGAGCTGAGGTTGCACCACTGGCACTCCAGCCTGGGTGACAGAGCAAGACTCCATCTCAAAAAAAAAAAAAAAAAAAATTTTGAAAACTATGATTCTTTCTGACTACCCTAATAACATTTTTATGATTTTTAAAAATGCATAGCCGTGTAGATTTTCTTTAAATATATATGTAGACAAAGTCAATTTTTGTTTTCATTTTTACTGTTAGTAAACTCTTTATGTATGGGTTTTCTTCTTGTGAGATGGGGAATCTAAATTTTCTGTCATTAACATCCAGGGAATACAAAAATTTACAATCTATACTAAGGGTTATCATTACAGCCGAAAGATTAGGCAGATAGCCTTACAAAAGACTATTCTTAAGGAAAGTTCAGTAAGTAATAGGAATTAATAAAGTGAGGCAAAATCTTGATTGATTTGAAGACTATTGTTCAGGGGCATCACTAGTGAGCCTACCACAAAATTGTTTGAAGGGTTACCGGGGATTAACCAAAAGTGGCTTTATTAAATTTGCTTAGCATCACTCACTGACACATCTGTATAGATCCTTCAAGTTCATCCTAGTCTACAGCAATTAGTACCCTTCAAATGATCTGTTTATCACTAACTTTATTAGTTTTAGTAATTTTTAAATTAGTAAGTAGGCTATATTTCAAATTTACAAAATCTAGATATGTTGGAATATATAGAAATCACTGCTCACTCAGTTTTAAAAATTTATATTTTGTTGTTTCTCATTTTGCTGCAGATTCCTCACTAGTCAAATATTTACTTTCTTTTTTTCAGTGACTTAGAGATATTATATATCTACATTCATAATAAACACTTTTAAGAATATTAAAATGGAAAGTAGATACTAACTTTGAAGTAACACCAAAACACTTAATTTTCTATTCAATCGGTACTTATTCACGTCTTTGCTCTTTTTTGTTTTTTTTTGGAGACAGAGTCTAGCTCTGTCGCCCAGGCCGCAGTGCAATGGTGCAGTCTCAGCTAACTGCAACCTCAGCCTCCCGGGTTCAAGTGATTCTCCTACCTCAGTCTCCCAAGTAGCTGGGATGACAGGCACCCACCATCATGCCCAGCTAATTTTTGTATTTTTCATAGAGACGGGGTTTCACCATGTTGGACAGGCTAGTCTTGAACTCCTGACCTCAGGTGATCCGCCTGCCTTGGCCTTCCAAAGTGCTGGCATTACAGGTGTCAGCCACTGTGCCCGGCCTGCTTTTTCTACTTAAAGTTACTTTCTTACTTTCTATTTAAACTTGTGCATGTCCCGAAGGACTTTGCTTTGTGAGAGCTATTATATATTGAAAGACATTTGTTTAATCCCTCAGAAAAATATTGGATTAAAAGAAAATCTCATAAGATGTGGCTAATGTATTAAAATAAAGTGATTTAAACGTTCTTAAAAAGCAGAAAGAAATTTAAAAAGAGATCCATGGAAAAGAGAGCAACAAAAAACACTTAGAAATGTAACAGGACAGAAAATAAAGCATATAGATATAATAGTTTAGTCTGGCATTAATCGTGTTTTTACTCCTCTCAATCTAAAACTGTTATTAGAAAACTAATGGTTTTACGTAATGGGTATGTAGACATAATATTTTTTACATTGCTGAGTTCATTCTGTAGCTACTATTCTATACTCTAATTTTTCTTTTCTATTTCCTTGCCACTAAATATTTTGATAAACACTACTTTCAGTAATAGATACCACATGTGTCTCATAACATCATTATTATTTTGCCCCTTAAGTCTTAAACTTGGAGCTGAAGAAGCTGAAGATGCCAAAAAGAACAGAAAAATTCCCTGATGACAAGAGATGTTCTCTCTAGCCCAAAGGATGAGGAAAGAGACAGACTATCAAGACAGGAAATTTAAGTAGTAACTGCAGTGATTCAGCTAAACATCACAGAGAAAAAATGTAAAGATTTTATTAGACAGTAGTCTATTTCAACTGATGTATCATGGAAAATGCTAAAGCATATATGCATTTTTTCGCTGATGTTATATTCATTCTGATAATTGACTTGTTATCAATGGATATATTGAGTTAATGTATAAACAGTTCTTAAGAGTCTTGACTTATATTGCCAAAATGCTGTAAAACAAAGTTTTCATTCCAATTTGCAATACATGAGTATGTTATTAGATGACAACCTCATCAGCATCATCTACAAATTTTTATCAAACATCTGGTGAACAATTATTGTTGACTTTGGTTGCTAATATGATTGAACCGTCTCTGCTTTTATTCATCATTTGCCTTCAGTCTATTATCTCTTAATTTTCTTGATTTAAAAAAAAATTAGTTTGTTAGTGTTACTCTCATTGCTTTGAGTCATAACTATCACTTATGTACAAATATGTTCCCATCTTTATTTTCCATTTACTTGTTATTTATTGCTTATTATACATAACGGCTTTTTACAAATTGTTTTTGGTAGCTTACTGAAAATTTTTCATCTCTCCAGCCCCTCAAGAGTATGTTAGCAGCTGACACATATATATGACAACCTAAAATATCATTAGCCAAATGACACATGTTATAATAAAGTAGAAAAGTAGTTTGGAGGTATAGTAGTTGCTCCTTATCCACATGGTATATGTTCTAAAACACCCAGTGGATGCCTGAAACCATGGATAGTATTAAACACTATATACACTGCTTTCTTGTATGCATATATACCTATGATAAAGTTTAATTTATAAATTTAGCACAGTGAAAGTTAATAATAAAATAGAACAATTGTAACAGTATTCTGTCACAATTTCTCAGATAGAAGAGTTGTTCTTACCGTAGAGCTTAGGAACTGCAGCGTATGGTTGTTTTTTTTCTTTCCATATATGATAGCAAGAACCTTTACTTATGCACTTAAAGGATTTTGTGGCTTCTCTTTGGCATATCCAAATTGCCAGCATCACTATTCTTGCACTTGAGGCTATTATGAAGTAAACTGAGGGTTACCCGAACACATGCACTATGATACTGTGACAATCAATCTTATAAACCAAAGGGCTACTTATTGACTCATGGGCAGGTAGCTTAGAGATCATGGATATGCTGGACAAAGGGATAATTCACATCCTGGGCAAGACAGAGCAGGAACGTGTTAGACTTCATCATGCTACTCAGAACAATGTGCAGTTTAAAATCGTGAATTGCTTATTTCTAAAATTTTCCATTTAATATTGTCAGATCTTGACCGATTGCAGGTAACAAAAACTGAAAAGTGAAACCACTGACAAGCAGACTACTGTAATAGTATATAATGTAATATTTCAGCAATATTCAAAACTTCAGATGATTTTAAAATTGTGAACTAAATATTAGTGTTTAAAATTTAAGGGGAAAATATAAGACACTGAAAGATAGAAAGAAGGAAGACTGCCTTTCGTATTTTTTTGTTTTTGCCTCCTAAATCTTAAACTTGGAGTTGAAGAAAATGAAGATGGCAATAAAAACAGACAAAAATTCCCCGATGACAAAAGATGTTCTCTTTAGCCCAAAGAGACAGTCTATCAAGACAAACTTTAAATAGTAACTGTTGTGATCCAGCTAAACGTCACAGAAAACTGTTGTTCTACACTCATCTACATCAGCAAAGGACAAGTGGGAAGCCTTGAATTTCACACTTACTAGGCCACAAAAAGCTTCCCCTAATTCCTGCAAGCCTAGTGTCAGATAAGACCAGGTAGGAAATTAGGAATTTCATTTTCACTGACTGGCAATGAGTGCCAAATGTGTGATGTCAGTGTTGAAAACAGGGGAAGCCTGGACTACAATCCCTTTTAGCGTTAATAAGTTACCTTTGTCCCTCTCTACGTGGGCTGTATCTGAAGATGGTAGAGAGTCAGGACTCTCATCAACACTCAGGATGAATAAAGCCTTCACCATCATGGAGCCCATGTAGAGACCAGAAGTCTCAGTAGGAACTTCTGTCCAGTAGCAAGGAGGAATCCTCTCATTTTGTATGACAATGGAAACTATGTAGAGAATTTAGACTACTATCTTCAACTGGCAGTAATAGAGTGCCCCACTCCTTTCTCCTGTAAAAATGGTGTCAGGGAAAGCAAGTGAAGACAGAAAATTAAATGAAATCTATATTTTTATACCATAATACCCACATTGGAAAATCATTCATTATACAGAGAACAGGAAGAAGGAAGATTTCAAACTGAATGAAAGAAAATCAACTGATGCCAACACTGACATGATAGAACTATTAGATTTATATGATAGTAATTTCAAAGCAGCTATGTTAAAATGCTTCAAGGAACAATTATGAACATACTTGAAGCAAAAGTAAAAATTGAAAGTTTCAGCCCAGCTCAGTGGCTCACACCTGTAATCCCAGCACTTTGGGAGGCCAAGGCAGGCGGATCATGAGGTCAGGAGCTGGAGACCATCCTGGCTAACACAGTGAAACCCTGTCTCTACTAAAAATACAAAAACGTAGCCGGGCATGGTAGCTGGCACTTGTAGTCCCAGCTACTTGGGAGGCTGAGGCAGGAAAATCCTTTGAACCCAGGAGGCAGAGGTTGCAGTGAGCCAAGATAGAGCCACTGCACTCCAGCCTGGTGATACAGCTAGACTCTGTCTCAAAAAAAAAAAAAAAAAAAAAAAAAAAAAAGTTTCAGCAAATACATAGAAGACATAAAGAACCAAATGAAGATTATAGAACTGAAACATAAGATACAAAATACAAAAATAAAGTGGGTAAGCTTAATAGCAAAAGGGAGGAGAGAAAGAATAGGATTAATGAACTGGAAGATAGAATAATAGAAATTACCCAATCTGGAGGAGAATGGACTGAAACATAATCAACAGAAACTCTTGAACCCATGGGCTATAACAGAAGATCCAATGTTTATGTGATTGAAATCATAGAAGGAAAGGAGGAAGAGGCAGGTGTTAAAATTTTTCAACAAAATGATGGCTGAAACCGCTCCAGATTGGACTAAATCAATTATTCAATAAACCTACAGACTCACGAAGCTGAGCAAATCTCAGAATAATCTCAAGGAAATTAAGGCTAGGAGTAGTGGCTTACGTCTGTAATCCCAGCACTTGGGAGGATCACTTAGAGCCCAGGAATTTGAGACCAGCTTGGGCAATACAGTAAGACCCTGTTTCTACTAATTTTTTTAAAAAAATAGCCAGGTGGGCCAGGCACAGTCGCTCATGCCTGAAATCCCAGCACTTTGGGAGGTCAAGGTGGGCAGATCATGAGATCAGGAGGTGGAGACCAGCCTGGCCAACACGGTGAAACCCCGTCTCTACTAAAAATACAAAAATTAGCCAGGTGTGGTGGTGCATGCCTATAATCCCAGGTACTCGGGAGGCTGAGGCAGGAGAATCGCTTGAAAGCAGGAGGCAGAGGTTGCAGTGAGCCGAGATCACACCATTGCACTCCAGCCTGAGAGAGACAGAGAAAGGCTCCGTCTCAAAAATTAAAAAAAAATAAAATAAAATAAAAAGAAAAATGCCAGTTGTAGTGGTGCGTGCCTGTAGTTCCAGCTACTCAGGAGCCTGAAGAGAGAGGATCACTTGAGCTGGAAGTCTGAGGCTACAGTGAGCTGTGATCGCATCACTGCCCTCCAGCTTGGGCAACAGAGTGAGACCCTGCCACAAATTAAAAAAAATAATAATGACAAAGTCTATAATATTTAAATTTCTGAAAATGAAAGACTGTTGAAAGTCTTAAGAGCTGCCAGATAATAGCATCACCTTATCTATGATGGGAAATGCAATTAGAATGACAGTGGATTTCCCATCAGAAACTACTGCCTGAGAAAATAACAATATTTTTCAAGTCCTGGGGAAAATGAAATCTGTATACTCAGAAATTAAGACTTTCTTAAATGAAGGAAACCTAAGAGAATTTATTTGCAGATTGATTCTAAAAAATGGCTAAAGGGGCCTGTAATCCCAGCATTTTGGGAGGCCGACGTGGGCAGATCAGGAGATCAAGAGTTTGAGACCAGCCTGGCTAACATGGTGAAACTCCATCTCTACTAAAAATACAAAAAATGAGCTGGGCGTGGTGAAATGCACCTGTGGTCGCAGCTACTCAGGAGGCTGAGGCAGGAGAATCGGTTGAACCCAGGAGGAGGAGGTTGCAGTGAGCCGAGATAGCACCACTGCACTCCAGCCTGGGCGACTGAGACTCCATCTCAAAAACAAAAACAAAGAAAACAAAACAAAATGGCTAAAGTTTTGATGTCTAATAAGAAAAGAAACAATAAAACGAAAGCTTGGAATACTAAAAAGGAACAAAGACAAACATATGAAATGTGGGTAAATAGAATTTCCTTGTTCTCAATTTTTCCAAATCATATACTAGGGGTAAAATGAAAATTATAACACCACTGTAGTCTGAAATGTTTGTGGAAGAATTGTTGAACACAATTATAAGTAGGAGAGGGTAAGGGAACATAGGGAGAACTCAAACTGATGAAACAGCAGACTGTGATTAGTAATGTATACATAATCTAATAGCTAGAGAAACCACTTAAAAGGCTATATAAAGAGATATACAAAAACACTAAAAATAAGTCAAAATGGGATTCCAAAATATATTCAAGTAACCCAAAATTAGGCAGAAAAAAATGGAAATAAAGCAGAAAAGTATGAAAGAGCAAAAGTAATCCCAACATATCAATAACTAAATGTAAATGCTCCAAATATACCACCCCAAAATAGACACTGACAAAATAGATTAAACAACATAGCGCAACTGTATGTTATCTATAAGAAACACACTTCAAATATAACAGTAATGGTAGTTTGAAAACAAAAGGTTGGAAAATACATATCATGCAAATATTAAAGTGGCTATATTAATATCAAATAAAGTAGATTTAAGAACAAAATAAATTACCATGTATAAAAAAGGCACTGCATAATGATAGAAGGATCATTTCACCAAGAAAACATAGCAATCCTAAATGTGTATCCACCAAACAGGAGAGCAAATAGTTCATGAAACAACTGATAGAACTGAAAGCATAAACAGACAAAATCTACAATTATCAGTAGATACTTTAACACTCATCTGTCAATAATTGATAGGGCAATTAGATAGATAATCTGCAAGGGTATAGAAGTTAACAACCTCATCCACTAACAGAATCTAATCAGCATTTGTCCGCAACTTTACACTAAAACAGAAGAATATACATTCCTTTCAAGTACCCATGGTACATATTACAGAATGGAATAAAAAAAAAAAAAAAATCCCAAATTTAAAACAGGTGAAATCATTCAATCACAATGGAACCACCTGAAAACCAATAAAGACAAGCAGACAATCAAGCAAATCAATTTCTCTGAACACTTAGGAACTAACCAGACCATTTCTAAAACATCCATGGTTTAAAGCCAACATCTCTAGTGAAATTTTAAAAAATACAATGAACTGAATGAAAATGAATATTCAACATTTCAAATTCACAGGATAAAGCAAAAGCAGTGCTGAGAGGGGACTTTATAGCATTAAATACCTACCTGAGAAAAATAGAAAAAAATCTTAATCTAATCCCCAACCTGAAGAACCAAGGGGGAAAAAAAGCAAAATAAACTTAAAGCAGAAGGAATAAGTAATGAAGTAAAAGTCATTGAAATTTAAAGCAGTTAAACAATAGAGAAAAATCAATAAAATAAAAGTTTGACTGTTTGAAGAGTTCAGTCAATAAAACTGACTTGTAGCATGACAGGAAAAAAGATATAAATTACCATTATCAGAAATGAAATGGGATTTCACTATAGACCTTGCTGACATCAAATTATAATAAAAAAAACTACAACTCTCAAAACATAAATTTGACAACTTAGAATGATCGATTCTTTGAAAAACATAAAATGTCACAATTCACACAATATAAAATAGTTTGCATATCCTTCTAATACCATAAAAGGAAAATGAATTTTTCATTTGAAAACTCCCCCCAAAAATTCCACAGGTCTAGATGGTTTCACTGGAAAATTATATCTAAAGCTTAAACAAGAATTAACACCAAGTCTTCATAATTTCTTTCAGATATAGGAAAAGCAGAAAAAATTATGTGTTAGTCTGTTTTCACATTGCCTTAAAAACCTGCCTGAGACTGCATAATTTATAAAAGAAAGAGGTTTAATTGACTCACAATTCAGCATGGCTGGGGAGGCCTCAGGAAACTTATAGTTGTGGTAGAAGGTGAAGGGGAAGCAAGACATCTTCTTCACAAGGCAGCAGAAAGGAGAATAAACGCAGGAGGAACCATCAAACACTTATAAAACCATCAGATCTCGTGAGAGCTCACTCACTCTCAGGAGAACAGCATGGGGAAACTTCCCCCATGATTCAATTAGCTCAACCTGCTCTCTCCCTTCACATGTGGGGCTTATGATGATTACAATTCAAGATGAGAGTTTGGGTGGGAGCACAGCTGAAACATATTAACTTCTCAATTTACTTCATGAAGCCAGGATTACCTTGATATAAAAACAAGCCAAAGGCAGTACCAAAATGAGACCAATATTCCTCATGAATATAGACACAAAATATCTTATTAAAATGATACTTTAGCTTGGTTTATAGTGTTGTTGAAGTTTTATATATCCCTCCTAATTTTCTATTTCTTTTAGCAATTATTGAAATGTGTGCTGACATCTCTAACTATGGTTGTGGACTTGTGTATTTCTTCTTTCAGTTATATAGGGTTTTGCTTCACCTGTTTTATGTTTGTAATAGTTGCGTGAATCATTAGGACTATTATATCCTCCTGGTGAGCATCCTTAATTCTTCTTGAATTACAAGACTTCCCCCTCTGGTTTATGGTAACATGGACACTTTACAATCCTCTCTGAGCTCAGAGGACATTTTCCCTTGCTCTTTTTAGGTGGTTCTTTCCCCAACACTTGGTATCATCCTCACACTCACACATGCTGATTAGTACCTAGCCGAGGACTCCAAGGGAACACTTTGCAGATGTCCAATGCAGCTCTCTTTTCTCTGTTGTTTTGTCTTGTGAATTTCTAGCCATGTTGGCCTTCTTTTACTCCTCCTTTAGCCTTCCATTTCTTCATCTCAGGCGGTTCACTGGTCTCCACCAGCTCACTTTTATGGCTTAGGTCTGTGATCTTTCTTCAGTGAGTATAATAGTACAACTAATAGGGCCGATTTTATTTTTTTCTTCTCTCTGAGGTACTATTCCCCTGTGTTGCCTGATATGCAATAACTGAACATTGTTGTTTTATATATTTTGTCAATTAATTTTTTAACTGCTGTTGTGTTGTTTGGTTTTTGTTTGTTTCTTTCTTTCTTTCTTTTTTCCAGAATGGAGAATAAACCTTTTCTGTTGGGTGTATGTGTGTGTTTCCTAAACCTTCAAAGTAAGGCATAAATTACATGTACAAACGCAATTAAAATATTAGTTTAAAAAGAAAATAGAGGATGGTAGATGCAGGAATCAGATCTAGTGTTAGATGAACAGAATGCTTTCTCCTTAAAATAATAATTAAAAAATAAACCTTTAGAAGAGGCAAGGAGGATACCGAAAGGAGGTCTGTCAAAGTTGTTTATTCACTGATTTGTGATTGAGAGCTTGTTTTCCCTCTAATTAAAAAGTCACTTCATGAAAATAAGATTTTCTAATTGTGATTTATCTTTAATCCTTGCATGCAAAATGTTTCCTGAGCCATTCACGAATACTATTTAGTTTCCTCAGAGGCTCTCTAATGAATAAGGTAGCCAAGTAGGAGCCATTAGGGGCTCAATTTTTCAATGAAAAGCACATCCCTTCCTTTCCCCTCCCATTTTCATGGTTGGTAGTAGGAGAAAACATATCTATGTATAGAAATAATGTAAAGAACCTCTACTGTGGACCCTGGATCATCACATTTGTATATAAATAACATTATACACATGAGAGTATATTTGATCACATTGACTCTACCAGGACAATAAATAAATGTGAAAGCTTGTTTTTGAAAGCCGCTATACCTTTAGAGGAACAGCAGATTTATATTGCCATAAAATTCCTGATATTGACTGAATCTTTCAAATATTAATGGTGTTTATACTTCATTTGTACGTGATCACCTTATTAGACATATCTGTATGTCCGTCCAGATTGAGGGAGTCACATGATTAATAAATCATTTAATTAGAAAGACATTAGTTATTCCATTCCATTAGAGTCCTGATGTTTAATTTACTACAATTAAATGGTCAGTTTATTAAATTTCATAGGATTTAAGATTGCATCCAAGCCTATAGGACTCCAAGTTATTCAGTGGCTGTAAGTATAGCACCCAAATCCACTTAGCTGTGACTGTGGGCAATCACCTTTCTGAGGGCTTTACATATATACATTTAATCATCACACATCTGCGATGATTAAATTATAATGGCTAAATTATAATATTCACATTTTACAGAAAAAAATTAACAATCAGGTTAAGTAATCTAAAGGCATCTGCCTACAAGTGATAGAGCCACCAATCCAACAGTGTAAATGCAAAACCTGTGCACTTTTCCCTGCCCTGTGGTTCACCAGTTCTATCTTATTTCTGCTAATCCTGTTCAAATGTATAACTGATAACCAAAGCACTAAAGGACAGGATTTAACTGTATTGTAATAAAAACTCTGTAAGACAAACATTCTGCCAAAATGAACTACTCCACTGGATTCCTTGGGAACACGTCATTTCTTCACTTGGCCTGCCCATTTTTTTCTTCTTATTGCAATACTCTATATTCCTTTACTTCTAATTGAAGGTCTTTACCAGTTTGAGTTTTTAATAAAGCAAATTATTGACTGAAAAAATGAAATCTTATTTCCTTGGCCTCTTTGCTCATAATTTTTTATAGTGTAATCACAATGTAGTAATAATTATTCATTTATAAGGGACTCTGTTTTATTTATCATTCTGTTCTTAACCCCCAGTAGGTACCAAATGGATGGAAGAATGAAATAACTGATTGGATCATAAATCCAATGAATGAAGCTATAGGAATTGTAAAAAGCAAGTTTTGATCCTTCCTTCCTTCCTTCCTTCCTTCCTTCCTTCCTTCCTTCCTTCTTTCCTCTCTCTCTCTCTCTCTCTTTCTTAACCGAGTCTCATTCTGTCACCTAGGCTGGAGTGCAGTGGCGCCATCTTGGCTCACTGCAACCTCCGTCTCCCAAGTTCAAGCGATTCTCCTGCCTCGGCCTCTCAGGTAGCTGGGGTTACAGGTATGTGCCACCATGCCCAGCTACTTTTTTTGTATTTTTAGTAGAGACAAGTTTCACCATGTTGGCCAGGCTGGTCTCAAACTCCTGACCTCAAGTGATCCACCCACCTCAGCCTCCCAAAGTTCTGGGATTACAGGCAGGAACCACCATGCCCACCCAATGATCCTGTACTTTGATAAATGGATTCTTTCACAGTGGCTCTGACAAAGGGGTTTGGGTTGCAGAACCTTCACCTTTGGGATATCACACCACCTTTGGTTGCTATGAGATAATATCACCCAACCCAAATGCTAGTACCTATGTAGAAAATATAAAATCTATCTATGGAATTTATAAGCCTCATCTTTAGGCACTCTACTCCTCATTCCAATGTGTTCATGTGTTTTGTCTTGCCTACCTGGGAAACCTTTGGCAAACCTTATTCTTTCTCCATATTTACTTCATCAAATCCTCTCTCAGTAATAATACAATCATTCAATTCATACACTTAATAGTAGAAGGAGAAAGGTTTGAGGTGAGGAAAAGAAAAAAAAATGGCTGTGCGATTTCAGGACCTCAGAAAGTTGAATTACATAGGAGGTATTAGATGGCAAAGTTTCAGTCCATTTTCATGCTTCTGCTGATAAAGACATACCTGAGACTGGGTAATTTATAAAGAAAAGAAGGTTTAATGAACCCACAGTTCCATGTGGCTGGAGAGGCCTCTCAATCATGTCAGAAGGCAAAAGGCATGTCTTACATGGTGGCAGGTAAGAGAGAATGAGCACCAAGAGAAAGGGGAAACACCTTATAAAACCATCAGATCTTGTAAGACTCATTCACTACCATGAGAACAGTATAGGAGAAACTGCCCCCCATGATTCAATTGCCTCCCATAGGGTCCCTCTCATAACACGTGGAAATTATGGGAGCTACAATTCAAGATGAGATTCGGGCGGGGACACCACCAAACCATATTAGGCAGCGAAGTATCATTTCCAGTTTCCAGTTTCCCCGAAGTTACCCCACCTTCAAGAAAAGAAGAAACGTGCCTATTGCTTAGCTAATCTTCTCTTTTTATTGTTTACTTAATGTTATGTTTTCTTTTAAATCTAGTCAAGTGAAGCAGTGGGAGTAGAGAAGAGATCTTCTTTTTAAATATCTCTTCCCTGACCTCAGGTTGATTATCAGTTTTTTCCCCTGAAGACTCTAAATCTATTATTAGAAAACTATCTGATGAAGTTGCTCTAGAATAGTAGTGCTCAAGAATTGCCACATACCAGAATCATCTGAAAACTTTTCATCTATCTACGTATCTCTCTATCTATTCATTATCTTTACTAAACTTTAAAGAGGCTTCTTTTGGATTATGGGCCCCTGAACTACCTTTTCATATGGCATGTTTAGAAAACTTGTAGTTATCAATTATTTCCTTTTCCTGTTGACATACAAATCACTTTTAAAGTCTCTCAACAGTTTTACAACTCAGGATGAAGGATTAAAAGGATAAACAAATAATTTTATCTCTCATTTAGAAAAACCATGCCACATACTTTATTACCATGTATAAAAATAAACCCTAAAATAATTATGAGTGTATTAAGGCCTCCATTATAACTATTTAATGAATTAACAGAGTTTTGAAAAATAGAAGTAAAGGCATTGAATGGTATTTAATCAGTGAACAATTATATTACATGTCTTTGAACTACTGTACAAATCAGTATAAACCAAAGTGTTACTGGAAAGGGTTCTGTATTAGTCTGTTTTCATACTGCTCTAGAGAAATGTCTGAGAGTGGGTAATTTCTAAAGAAAAGAAGTTTAATTGACTCACAGTTCAGCATGGCTAGGGAGGCCTCAAGAAACTTACAATCACCTTGCAAGATGAGGCAGGCACGTCTTAGATGACGGCAGGTGAGAAAGAGCATGTGAAGAAGGAACTGTCAAACACTTATAAAACCATCAGATCCAAGTCTTTGCTATTGTAAATAGTGCTGCAATAAACATACTTGTGCATGTATCTTTAGAGTAGAATGATTTATAATCCTTTGGGGATATACCCAGGAAAGGGATTGCTGGGTCAAATGGTATTTCTAGTTCTAGATCCCTGAGGAATCACCACACTGTCTTCCACATGGTTGAACTCATTTACACTCCCACCAACAGTGTAAAAGTATTCCTATTTCTCCACATCCTCACTAGCATTTGTTGTTTCCTGACTTTTTAATGATGGCCATTCTAAGTGGTATGAGATGGTATCTCAATGCCCATCAATGATAAACTGGATAAAGAAAATATGGTACACATACACCATGGAATACTATACAGCCATAAAAATGAGTTCATGTCCTTTGCAGGGACATGGATGAAGTTAGAAACGATAATTCTCAGCAAACTAACACAGGAACAGAAAACCAAACACCACATGTTGTTACTCATAAGTGGGAGTTGAACAATGAGAACATGTGGACACAGGGATGGGAACATCACATTCCGAAGCTTGTAGGGGGGTAGGGGGCAAGGGGAGAGAGAGCATTAGGATAAATACCTAATGCATGCAGGGCTTAAAACCTAGATGATGGACTGATGGGTGCAGCAAACAACCACAGCACATGTATACCTATGTAACAAACCTGCACATTCTGCACATGTACTCCAGAACTTAAAAGTAAAATAAAAAACAAAAAGCAAGGAAAAAGAAAACCATCAGATCTTGTGATAACTCACTCACTATCACAAGAACCGCATGAAGTAAACCACCCCCATGATTCAATCACCTCCCACCAGGTCCCTCTCTAAACACCTGGGATTAAAATTCAAGATGAGATTTAAGTAGGGACACAAAGCTAAACCATATCAGGGGCTGATCCAGACTCTAAGAAAAGGTTCTTGGATCTCACACAAGAAAGAATTCAGGACAAGTCCACAGAGTAAAGTGAAAGCAAGTTTATTGAGAAAGTAAAGGAACAAAAGAATGGTTACTCCACAGGCAGAGTAGTGGGATGGGCTGCTTGACCAAGTATACTTACAATTATTTTTTGATTATATGCTAAAAAGTGGGTGCACTATTCATGAGTTTTCTGGGAAACGGTCAGGGAATTCCTGGAAATGAGGATCCCTCCCCTTTTTAGACCACATAGAGTAACTTCCAGTGGTTGTCATGGCATTTGAAAACTGTCATGGTACTGACGGGAGTGTCTTTTAGCATGCTAATACATTATAATTAGTGTATAATGAGCAGTGAAGATGACCAGAGGTTACTTTTGTCACCATCTTGGTTTTGACAGGTTTTGACTGGCTTCTTTACTACATCCCGTTTTATCAGTGGAGTCTTTGTGTAAATATCATCTTCCACAAGAATCTCTATTAATATCTTAAAAGCAAAACTTATTCTTAAACTAGGAATGCTTTTGTTCTTAAGATATAAGGACATCAGGCATTTCCTGGGTCTCTTCAGTAAACGTTATTAACCTGTTCCCTTAGCGGTAAATCTTCTGTGACTAAGAATGCTTAACTCCTGAGAATGCAACCCAGTAGGTCTCAGCCTCATTTTATTTAGCCCCTATTCAAGATGGAGTCACTCTGGTCAGAAGGCCTCTGCTAAGGGGGCTAGATAATAACAACTATGATGAAATATGAATATTGAACATTTCAGTTACATTAAAAGTGATCCTCTGATGTGTGTATTCCTGTATAGTAAAACATCATATCATTGCAAAAACCAATGACCTGATTAGGATGAATGAGTCACTATAGATGGTTTAGCAGACACAAAGAGCAAAGTCAGAACACTACTCTCTGTTACATAGCAGAGAACCATCAAATGCTAACACATTTGTACCTGACATTATGACAAATTAAAAGACATCACTACAGGCACAAAAGCATTAACATCCTGGTGTGGAGGTTGTGATGTAATTTGGTATATTGCCAAACAATAATACATTGTTTGCCAAATGTTATAATTATTGTGTCAATTGTAACATTTTATTCTAAGTTCTTCATATAAAAACTAAGACTTTAACTTCTCAGACCTAAAAATTATCAGACTTGTAATTTTGCATAGGTCAGTATCCTGCTGAAAATAAATGCATAAATTAATTCAGGACAATCTTGGCAGAAATAGAAGTGTTCATAAAAGTTTTGTTATTATCACTCAAACTATCTTTCTTTTTGTCTTCAATAATTTTATTTTACTTTATTTAATGCTATCTTATTTTGTTAATTTATTTTATTTTATTTTTAATTTTATTTTATTTTTCTGAGACAGGGTTTTACTCTGTCGCCCAGGGTGGAGTACAGTGGTGGGATCATAGCTCATTGCAACCTTGAACTCCTGGGCACAAGGGATCCTGCTGCTACTCGAGTAACTAGAACTACAAGCACATGCCACCATGTCAGGCTAGTTTTCAAATTTTTTGTGGAAATGGGGTTTTGCGTTGTTGCCCAGGCTTGTCCCAAACTCCTGGGTTCCAGCAGTCCTAACAATTTGGCCTCCCAAAGTGCTGGGATTACAGGTGTGAACCACTGCACCCAGCCAAAAATTTTATAAATACATATTAAATTATAAAAGTCTGCATGAGAAAACAAATTACAGGCACTAGATGAAATCTTCATTAAAAAGAGTTATGGAAAAATCTTAGAGATATTATCTCTTTAACTTAATTATGTTTATTTTGATTCATCACTCTTATTTAGATTCAAAATTTTTAAAGCATAACATGAAATTGACGGTTTATTATAGTGGCATTTCTGCAGTGCTAAAGTAATGACGATGACAAGGTTGATACATTATTAAAGAGATTTGGCACTAGCAGTTTTAAAAAAATGACTTTGTTTGCAGACCGAATGTGAAGTTGTTGCTTGGCACATAAGCTAATGACCCAGACTAGCTGGCTTGAGTCTAATTCAATATCATCTTGTCAGCATTCTCCTCCTCTGCCAATACAAGAAAACAAAGCAATTCCCTAAAGAAGAGGGGGGAAAAATACAAGTTGTTTCCTTAGTCAAATGCTACATTGTGCTCAGGTCTCCATTGTCAAAGTAAAACTGACATCTGACACAAAGCTGTGAAGGACAGAAACAATTTTCTAATGGCTCATACCAGTGACATGAATCAAAGAGAGTTCAGTAGAAAAAAAAATGGACTTTACAAAAAAAAGTACGTTTTTCCATAGGCATAGTTTGAGAAATAATCAAGTTCCTCAACAAAAACTAGGAAATTATATTCTTCTACTTCAAAATAATAAGAAATGTTAACAGATCTTGGAAAATTACTGTGTAACAATAGAGTGGAAGAAGGAATATGATTTTAGTCAGCAAGTGAATACCACCCACAGAAATATACTGTAGATATATTTTCCCAAATCTTAACTATTAGATCAATTTTCTAACTTTTCAAACTTTGTATCACTTTTACAAGATTGGTCCCTAATATACTTTCATTAGGGAACGTCTTTGGAATTGACATGGACAAATACAAGTCAAAAGAAAAAGTGTATGTGACATAGAGATGCTTAAAAATGAAAGATATATTTAAAATGTCTAGATAGCTGTGGAAGTTCTTTGGCCTCCGTTTGTTTATAGATAAAATGTTGGGCTCTAAATCTAATTCTAGCTTTAGCAATTAATCATGTACCAGCTGCGGAGATCTGCATAAATATTTTAATAAGCTTTTTTAATGTATAGAAAAAGTGTAAAGATAGTATAGTTATCATATATCCAACACTAATGTCTCCTGTTATTAATACCTTAGATTAGCATGGTAGCTTTGTCACAATTAATGAACAAATAGTGATATACTTTCATTAACTGAAGTCTGTACTTTATTTAGGTATCTTTCGTTTTTATCTAATATCCTTTTTTTCCATTCCAAGGTCCCATCCAGGATACCACATTATATTGAGTCACTGTGTCTTCTTAGCCTTCTCTGAGCCATTTCTCAGGCTTTCCTTTCTTTTGATGACCTTGAAAAGTTGAGGAGTACTGGCCAGATATTTTGGGAATATTCTTCAATTTTGGATGGCCTGATGTTTTTTTCTCATGATTAGACAGAAGTTATATATTTTGGAAAGGCAGGCCAAAGAGATAAAGTGTCATTTTCATCACAGCATATTAAGGGTACACACTGGCAATATGACATATTACTGTTGATGTGAACCTTGATCATCTGGCTCCATTAGCATTTGTCAGGTTTCTCCATTGTAAAGTTACTGTTTTTCCCCTTTGTCTACTGCACTCTTAGAAAATAAGTCCCTATGTACAGCCCACACTTAAGGAATGGGGAGTTATGCTCCACCCTCTTGAGGGCAGAGAAAATGGATGAAATTTTTGGATTTCTTTTGCACAAAAAATGCAGCTATTCTCCCACTTTTATTTATTCAATCATTTGTTGATATCAGTATGGACATATGGATATTTATTTTATACATGGAATTGTAATCCAATTCTACTTGTTTTGTTGTTGTTCTTGCTCTCGTTGTTCCAGCTTTGGGCACTGGGAGGTTTTGGGATAGCTCCTGTGCTTTTTGTCATACTGGTATTATTGTGGTGATTTTTTTACTGAGTACTGTCCCACTTTCTGATATTAGAAGATGCTCGAGAATCATGTTGTATGTTCCATTCTCTTACCCTAGAATTAGCCATGTCCCCAAAGAGTTCCAGTTTCTTGTATTGAATAATAGTATAGAAACCAGAATGTGAGTTATTGGTGTCAGCATAATGTTTAACACACTGAAAGATACAAAAGAGGTATGAGAGATTCTTTACAGCAAATGATATTGATAATGTGATCAATGAAGCAGATTATAACCAGATGATAAATAAACCTGAATACTAATCAAAATAAATTAGACAGAATATGATGGCTTACAAAAATTAAGGGTCTTTTTTATGAAGCAGATAAGTGACATCATAAAAACATGGGCTAACATAACTAATACATATCATGGATGTAATAAATAAACCTGATGCATAATGCATGTTTAATATATGAGAACAGTGTTAAAACCTGGAAGTTTACTATTCTTTGGGTATAGTTTATTGCTTGCAAGAGAGAATGTTTCCTTGTGTAACCTGATTTGTCTGTTCCAACTTATTCACGCACTCATTATTTTACTTAGTCATTCCTGTTTCAAAGAACTATGTGTTGAAATTTTATTTGTTCACTTTAACTTATTTGTTGAGAATCTAATGGTTGCTTGAAAATTAAGTCAAGTTTTTAAAAAGTCTATACTCCTAAAACCTTATATTTCAGTGAAAAAAAAAGACAAAAAATAAATACTCAAATGCTAGAGAGTATGAGGTTTCACGACATTAAAAATGGTTAATAGAAAATGATTGTGAAAGGAACTATTTGGGAGAGTATGTTCATGTAAGACTTCTATGATGCTACATTTACGCGATGAACACATGAGTATGGTGCCTACCTAGCACGTGGAACCATAAGTATATTGGCCCTGACATGTTGTCCATTGGTCGGTTTCAGGAGCATGTTTGGAGTGGGAGAGCAAAAACAAGGGTGGTAGAGATGAAGCAGGTTAGGGAGCAAATCATTAAGAGCTTTATTAACTTCAAGAAGAACACTGGATTTGTTCTAAATGTGAAGAAAGGACATTGGAAAGATTTGAGTAAAGAAGTTACATGATCTTATTTATATATGTAGATAATACATCTCTATCTATCGTCTATCTATCATCTATGTATATATTTATTACATATAATTCCTGTAGTTACTGGGAAAAAAATTCTAGAGATTGGGAACAAGCGGAAAAGCAGATAAATTATTTAGAATATTATTGCTGCAACCCAGGCAGTGGATTATAAAGGATTGGATGAGCCTGTCAGAGGCAAAGGGAGTGAAAAGTACTCAGATGTATAATTTAGAGCATATTTTAAGATAGTGCACATTTAAAGAAGACTGGGTAGGATTTGCCAATGGTTTAGCTAAGGAATGAGAGAGAAAGAGAGGAAGCATATCTTTGGCCCTTATCCTTTTTACAAAAATGAGAAAAATTAGGGAAGAAGCAGGTATTGAGGATGGCATCTTCTCTGTGCCAGGCATTCTGCTAGACCCTAGACATAAAATGATTAACCAAGCTCACAATAATCTTATCATGATAGTACTCACAATTTAGCTAGGGAGACTGGTGTTTAATAATAGACAGATAGTAAGTAATTACCAACTGTGATAAGAATAAGGGAAGGAGGGTAGTTATAAAATTTAAATTAGAAAGTAAGAGAATAGCTCCTTGAGAAATGATTTTGAATTTGAACTCTAGCAAGGTAAAGATGGAAAAAAAAGATCACAAATGAAGGCCGGGAAGCAGCGAGGAGCATGACAGAGGAGGGCTGGCATGAAAGATGAGGCTGAACTGTACTCTAGGTGGAATAAAACAGAGAAATTCATTACATGTATTTTCATGTGGGTATATTTAAAATAGAATGTGTGTATGAGTATGTATGTTAAGCTGTAAATGTGTGTGGGGACTTGACTCTCTAAATGATTTGTTGAAACTCTTATTTATTAAAAGAATCTATTAATGGGCCCTAAAAAATTAGCTATGTACATTATTTTCTTATTAAAATGCAACCGTTTATTCTATCCTTTATTATCCACTAGTCGTCTAATTATATCCTAATTAAAATAATAAATGTTAGCTGTCAAAATCACTTATATGTTCTAGATACCAAAAGCTCAGCATGAAAGACTGAATAAATATCGTCAGCGGTTTCCTCTCATCCGTCTCTCAATGAGAAAGCATGAAAAGTAAATGGTTGACCTAAAAGACAATACCTAAATTAAGATTTATATATTATTGCTTCTGTGTATATGCTTCTCAATTAGGTATATTTCTCTATGTATTAAAAAAGACTTCATAAACTTCCTTATGATTTGCTCACAGTTACATGTAATACCTCAAATCTAAAGATTTGGTAACATTTTGCAGTTTGCATTCTATAGAGAATATATTTTTCTCCTGATTGTAATAGGATCATATCTAAGCAGACAAAAGGGGAACTGGATCTATTTTTAAAGCCATCTAGTTAACATACCTTCACAATGGATGTGTAGGAAAAGTCATCCCTTACACAACACCTTCCAATTGCTGACACCTTACAGCCATTTTGCTCATTATATCTCAAGTGAAAGCTGTGCGTGAAAGCTCAAAGCATAGAAAAAGTGTCAGGGAAGTTCCTAATAGCTGAAAATATTCCATTTGTCAGAGCCTTGCCTGGGCTAAAAGGACAGAGATTCAAGGTATTGCTGAGACTGTAGTTGGGTATGCTCACGAGTGTAGAAATAATAAAAACTCATTTCCTTTTTTACTGGTTCTCTGAGGAATCTTGTTTCATTACATTCCTTCCCTCAGACTATTGAGATGATCAGTGTGTATATATCATTTGTTTTTCAGGAAGAGAAAGTACACTCTAGTGGTTATCCAGGTTTCCACATAAGGGCGAGACATCACTACTATCATTATCCTTAGAAAGCAGTGATTGTTCAAGTCTCCATGGTCAAAGGGTTTACATAGGGAGAAACTATTTAAAAAGTAATTCATACTTAAAAAGATTCATTCGGAGCTCACATCCTTTTTCAAGGAAACTAGGAAGGAATGCCATGAAATTCTACAGACCTTGCTTTATAAGGGAAATAACCAAATCTAATTT
The DNA here is from genome assembly GCF_000001405.40 of Homo sapiens. Classification (NCBI taxonomy): domain Eukaryota; kingdom Metazoa; phylum Chordata; class Mammalia; order Primates; family Hominidae; genus Homo; species Homo sapiens. The sequence goes on from NC_000013.11 coordinate 70,449,538, forward strand.
TTAATAGGTTCTAATAAAACTTAGATTTTAGTAGGAAAGTTTTCCAAAAAGGTGTATTTTCAGATGATTCTTTGTGTTCAGTGGATTCATTTGTTTCTAAATGCAACACCTCTCACCATTCAGACCATGGAATAAATAACAAACATGACTAAACATACTACCTTTTTAGTGACAGCTTCATTTACGGAACTTTCTGGGAATTGATTCTGTTAACATAAACATTGGAGTATTCTGATATTCATGCTGTCTGTGAATTGAGACATGTTTTGTGTTTTTGCTTTTTCATGTCAAATCTTTATGCCATTTATTATCTTGTCTTGTTGCAGTGACTAGGATTTCCAATAGGGTGTTGAATCAGTGTAGTAAGAATGATATTATTATGTTTCTGATCTTATTGTCAAAGCTATCCATCTTTACTATTAAGTCTGATTTCCTGCTATTCCAAATTTGCTGAGAGTTTTTACCATGAATGGATGTTCATTTTTTACAAGATTTTTTAATACCTTTTGTCATGATCATATTTTTCTTCATTAGTCCATTATATGATGAATTACAATAATTGGTTTTCAAATCTTGAATCAGCCTTTCTTTGGGTATAATTTGTTCTTTTTTCATCTAATTTCTTAGGATAAGAGTTCATATTATTGAACTTACTGGTTTGAGACTTTTGTCTTTTCTAACCACATTTATTCTATAAATGTACGTCTAAGCAGTGATTTAGCTATATCCTACCAGTTTTGATATTGTGTACAGTGAGTCATCACCTAACATCCCTTATAGGTTCTTTAAAACTGCAAATTTCAGCAAAATGATGTATAAAGAAACCAATTTTACCACAGGCTAATTTATACAAACAAGAGTTAAGTTCCTATAATATACGTTTTCTCGTCACAAAAACATCTGCGAACTTCTCAGTGAAGACCAAAACACTTCTAATATTAATCATTCAAATAAATGTGAGCTACACATGCAGTTAAAAAAAGATTAATTAAAACAAATAAGATAATTATCCGCCCAGTTATTTCAGTTCAGGGTAGTAAGCGGCTGGATCCTATCCCTGCAGCTCATGGTACAAGGCAAGAACCACCCTGGACAGGATGCCATCCCATCACAGGGCACACTCGCTCACACACACACACGTGCATACATATCACACGTTCACAATGGAATGCTTCAGAGAAGCCAAAATTCACCTAATGTGCAGATCGTTAGGAAGTGAGAGGTAACCAGAGTACCCAGAAAAAACAAGGCAGACATGGGGAGAATGAGCAAACTACACAGACAGTGAATCATTTTTTTTCCTCTAATCAACATTATAACAAAGGACGTTGAACAAAACAACTATTTAAGAACCTGCTGCTGTATTTTTCTTTTCATTTAGTTAATGTGTTAGAACTTTGCTAGACACTTTCTCTTTGACTCAGGGGTTATTTAGAATAGTTTTAAATTTCCATATATTTTTGAATTTTCAAGATATCTAATTACAGAATTCTATTTTAATTATATTATTTTCAGAGAATAACCTTACTAATATGGTTTGGCTGCATCCCCACCCAAATCTTGCCTTGAATTATACTAATCCCCACATGTCAAGGGTGGGACCAGGTGGAGATAATTGAATCATAGGGGTGGTTTACCCCATACTGATCACTACTGTTATAGTAATGAATAAGTATCATAATATCTGATGGTTTTGTAAATGGGAGTTCCCCTGCACAAACTGTCTTTCCTGCCACCACGTGAGACATGACTTTGCTCTTTCTTAGTCTTCTACCATGATTATGGGGCCTCCCCAGCCTTGTGGGACTATGAGTCCATTAAACCTCTTTTTCTTTATAAATTACCCAGTCTTGGGTATTTCTTCATGAAATTAAGTGTGAAAATGGACTAATATACTTACTATTATGTTTATCCTTTAACATTTCTACATTTTCTAAAAAATATATGGTCTATTTTAGTGTATATTTTGTGTGTCCCTATAAAAAATGTTCACTATGCTCTTGAAATAATATTTCTTGAAGCCCTCTGTATATATTGACTAGATTATGCTGTTTGATAATCTTTGTATCTTCTATGTGTACACAATAATTTTCTGTCTTCTTATTCGATCAATTACTAAGAGAAGAATGTAAAAGTCTCTAGCTAAAATTGCAACTTTGTCTATTCACCTTTCAATTTTAACAGTTTTTGCTGTTTTTATATTGAAAATCTGTTATTAGGTAAATACCTGTTAGTATTGCTGTGTCTTAGAGATTTAACTTCTATGTGACTATATAATACCTCTTTTCATCCTTGGTAATCTTCATTGTTCTAAAGTCCAATTTTTCTGATACTAGCATAGATAATCCAGCTTTCATTTGGTCAAATTTGGTATGGTATATTTTTCTCCATCATTATATTTTTGACCTATGGTTACACTTAAATCAACTTTCTTTTAGACAGCAAATATTTGGGTCTTCCTGTTTTTCTTTTTTATCAAATCTGACAACTCTATTAATTCTTATGTTCATACCACTCTAACTGAAAGTGTTGATTTGATATGGTTGGATGAAGTTCAAATTGCCAGTTGTTTTTATTTTTCCATCTGTTCTTTATATATTTTATCTTCTTTATGTCTTTTCATAGGGTAAATGAGAATTTTATGCTTCAATTTTATCTCCACCATAGACTTTTTATTTGTACTCATTCAAATATCATTTTAATTGTTGCCATTGAATTTAGATTATACATCTTTATTTAATCAGTGTCTATCTTAATAACAGTTGATATACAGCATAAAGGGCTAGTAACACTATATTAACAATTTCTACCTCTCATTTTTAGTGCTAGTGTTATCATGTATTTTTGCTTTAACAAATAACATGAACTAGCACTACAATTCTAATGATTTTACTTTAGACAATCACTTACCTTTTAGAGTGGTTTAAACTAAACATAATTTATTTTTATTTATTCCATTTCCAGTGCTCTACATTTCTTCATGTTGATCCAAGATTTCTTTTTTATCTCATATTGTATTTTCAGGAAAAACTTTCTGTAAATATTCTCGTAATATACACTTGTTAGCCGTGGATTTTGTCTGATTTTTGGTTGTTTGAGAGCTTACTTTTTCCTGCTTTTCTGAAAGATATTTTTGCCTGGTATTCTGGGTTGACAGTATTTTTCATTTGTTTCAGCATTTTTAGACAACATGTCACTGTCTACTGACTTGCATGGGCTATGATAAGAAGTCTGCTTGTCATTATAATCTTTTTTTGTATGTTTGTAAATGTATATTTCTTCCCTGTGTGCCTTGAAGATTTTCTGTTAGTCTTTGGATTAAAGGAATTCGAATATGATTTATGATATAGTTTGGATGTTGTCCCCACCCAAATCTCAGGTAGAAATGTAATCCCCAAAGATAGAAATGGAGCCTGATAGGAGGTGATTGAATCATGGGGGCTGATTTCCCATAATTTGTTTAGTACCTTCCCCTTGGTACTGTCCTTGCAATAGTCAGTGAGTTCTCATGAGATCGGGTCATTTAAAAGTCTGTGGCATCTCCCTCCTCTCTCTCTTTTTCCTGCTTTTGCCCTATGACACTCCTGATCCCCGTTTGCTTTTTGCTATGAGTGTGGGCTCTCTCGAGGATTCTACAAAAGCAAATGCTGCTTTGCTTCCTATAAAGCCTGTAGAACCATAAATCAATTAAACCACTTTTCTGTATAAATTACCTAGTTTCAGGCATTTCTTTATAGCAATGTGAGAATGGACTAATACAATACACAAGTATATATTTTGTTGTTGATATTTCCAGGTGTTCTCTGAACATATTTGATCTGTGATAATTGTCTTTCATTAATGTTTGCAAATTTTCAACCATTATATTTCAAATACTTCTTCTGCCTCATTCTTTCTCTCTTGCTCTTCTGGAATTTCAATAGCATATGTTAGGCTGTTTGATATTGCCCCACAACTATTATGTTTTACTTTTTTATTCTTTTATTTGTTTTGTTTCAACTTGGTAAATATCTACTGACCTATCTTCAAGCTTGACTAATTCTTTCTTTAACATTAGTCGAGTAATTCACTGAAGGCATCCTTTACCTCAATTATCTTTTCAAATAATTTTATTTTTATTTTTAGCATTTCTGTTAAGCTTATTATTATAGTTTTCATCTCTCTGCCAAAATTATTCATCTATCTTACACATGACCCATGTTTTCCATTTGAGCCTTTAACATGTTAATGATAGTTATTTAAAATTCGCTATAGGCCCCTAATATTTTATATATAAGTATTGTTATGTTGATTGCTTTGTCTCCTGGGAGTGGGTTTTCTTGCCTTTTAATGTGGATTGTCATTTAAAAAATTTTTAACCTGGACATCTTGTATAAGACAGAAAAAACCTGAGGTTAACACATTTTATGCCCTCAAAATGAACATGTCTTTCTTCTATTAGAGTTTTTAGTGTGAGGGTTGCAGTCAATCTAGTAAGAAATGCGACTGGATTTGGGCATTATTACTGCTATGGTATCCTCAGTGCAGCACAGGCTTCATGTTTTTCTAGTTTACTATGTGTTTTCAGGTAGGAGTCCATGTGCCAGAGAGTGTTCTCAATCATCCCCTCCTTCAGCTTTAAGTGTTTTGCTTGTCATTTGATGCTTGTTAGCTTGATGATGGAGTGGTGGTGGAGTTCTCTGTCATGATTAAGCTTCAGACTTAGACAAGCTCTGGGATCCTGAGAATCAGAGATATGGCCCTCTCAGTTGCCCTGACACTTCCTGACATAAAGTTCTGCACAAAACATGTATTCCAGACCCTCCTTCGAAACTAAAATCTTCTTTTATTTGCTTCCCTCAGCTACACAGTGTTTACTCCAGTAATCTAAGAGCAACAAGCTATATTTCCTATTCTCTGCAAATTAAGGCTTTTGTTCTAGAAGGATGTGTCAAGAACAATTGGGTCTGAAATTATATTTACTTAAAGCTAACGAGTGAGATTGCCTCAATTTCATAAATGCGTTGAGAATCCTTGGTCAGAGGCAAAAGACTGTTTTATCCACAAAGGAGCAAACAGACTGAACTTTTATGTCCACATTTTTTCTTACTGCCCTACTCCTGAATCCAGTGGGGACAGCACGATGGGCAGCTAGGTGTTACAGGTAAGAAATCTAGAACTTAGGAAATGTGTTAGTTTGTTTTGCATTGCTATAAAGGAATACCTGAGCCTGTTTTGCATTGTTATAAGGGAATACCTAACTTATAAAGAGAAGGGGTTTATTTGGATCATGGTTTGCAGTTTGTGCAAACATGGCATCAGCCTTCACTTGGCTTCTGGTGAGGCCTCAGGAAGCTTTCAGTTACAGCAGAAGGGAAGAGGGCTAGTGTGTCACACGGCAAGAAGGAGCAAGAGAGGTACTAGGCTCTTTTAAACAACCAGCTCTGACATGAAGTCATTGCTGCAGGGAGGGTACCAAGCCATTCAGGTGGGAAGGTGCCCCCATGACCTAAACACCTTCCACTAGGCCCCACCTCCAACACTGGGGACCACACTTCAACATGGAATTTTGAGGGGACACACATCCAAACCATATCGGGAACTTATAAGGAAGCACATACAAACCTTCCTAAACTTTGCCGCCCCACAGGAGACATTATGTTTGTCATACTGGCAGCAAATATATCTGTTTTTTCTTCCTGAGAGTGACACTTTCTCTATCTTCCAAAGCTGCTCACTATATAAATATTCTTGAAAGTCCAGGCACAGTGGCTCACGCCTGTAATCCCAGCACTTTGGGAGGCTGAGGCAGGCAGATCACCTGAGGTCGTGAGTTCGAGACCAGCCTGGCCAACATGGAGAAACTCCGTCTCTACTAAAAATACAAAATTAGCCGGGCATGGTGGCGCATGCCTGTAATCCCAGCTACTCCTGAGGCTGAGGCAGGAGAATCACTTGAACCAGGGAGGCGGAGGTTTCAGTGATCTGAGATGGTGCCATTGCACTCCAGCCTGGGCAACAAGAGCGAAACTCCATCTCAAAATAAATAAATAAATAAAATATTCTTGAAAAATAGTCTGAAACAAAAGACTGTCCATGCCTCTACTTGCAAGCTGTGTGCAAACAAAGACTCATGGACAATTATCTCTCACCAACTGGAGATGAGAGTAAAGAGATTGGAAGTAATTTTGTGTGTCTTCTTCACCAGCTGCTGTTCTATTATCCCAGAAACCAGGAAGGAAGCTTTCTCAAGAATCTTACTAAGTGGGATTTGTGGAGAAAGAGCCTGCAATAGTGTACAAACACCTTTTTTTTTCATATGAACAATGCTATACTATAACATTAGTCAACAAAAGCATAGTCATTTAGAGTTTTTTCCTTTCTAGAGTACTAACATTGTGTCCTCTAATTAGCTACATCATTTCCAATAGATTTGTTTTGCTTCTTCCCTTCTACACCTTCAAAATCACTTTAGAGTTTTCTCAAAGCCTAACTGCTTTTAAGTAAAGAAAAGCAGTATCTGGGTTTCCAGGCAAAAGAATCTGATAGCAAGGCAGAGTGGTGGTTCCATGCCCACCAGGCACTGTCTAAAAAGACGAGCTTAATTTTGCTTGTGACAGCCCATGCTCAAAGTAAAGGGCGAACTGAGGGAAGCCTGGCTATAGGAGCTTTAAAATAAATGTCAAATGTAGAATCTTTTTGTAACATGGCCATGGAAAAATAATTTAATTATTTACTATACAAGAAAATAAACTGTAAATGTGTAGAGCAGAAAAGAAGCCTGCTTTAACTTGTAACACATAAACATATATAATTTGAAATATACACAAGGCTGCCAAAATTATGAAGAATATACCATAGTAAAATACCTGGGTTTGGCTTTTTTATGCTTCTTTGTTATCTTAAAAATAAAATTTTTGCTTTGCTTTGTTTTTCATGTGATGCAACTATTTTCTATGGCTTTTACAAGGACAGTACTTTATGATTCTTTGGAGTGATTTCCAAATTTTGAAGAAATGTGTCTAATTGAACGAGCAATTTAAGAATATCTATTTTCTATTTCCTGAACTCTGATGGTAGTTATTTCCTTTCATAAGAATATGCTTCTTAAATGTGTTGTTCATTTTCTTTGTGAGTAGCCTACTATTTCTTTGTGAGTAGCCTAATAAGAGTAGGCTACTACTAGTAGTAGTACTAGTTTATTTTCTACTTTTGTAATACTTGTTTCTACTACCATTCATGCAACAAAGAAAAGAAGACTTATGATTTTTCAGGGATGACAAGGAACAGTAATCACCAAAACAAGACTTTAAGAAGAGAAATTCAGATGGATATCCATCCACTAGAGTTATCTTTTCACAGTCTGGGAAGCTCTATAGACTCACAGAAGAAACAAAGGTGATTCAGGACTCCAGCACTCTGCCACAGCCCATGTTTACTGGTCTGGTATGTTTCGCAGCAGAAATTTTTTAAAAATGCAAATATGGACTCCTGGGCAAGATGGCCCAATAGGAACAGCTCTGGTGTGCAGCTCCCAGCAAGACCAATGCAGAAGGAGTGTGATTTCTGCATTTCTAGCTGAGGTACCTGGTACATCTCATTGGGATTGGTTGGACAGTGAGTACAGCCCATGGAGGGCGAGCAGATGCAGGGTGGGGCATCGCCCCACCCAGGAAGCTCAACAGCTAAGGGAACTCCCTCCCCTAACCAAGGGAAGCCATGAGCAACAGTGCCCTGAGGGGCAGTGCTATCCTGCCCAGATACTATGCTTTTCCTAAGGTTTTCACAACCCACAGACCAGGAGATTTCCTCAGGTGCCTACACCACAAGGGCCCTAGGTTTTTAGCACAAAACTGGGTGGCTGTTTGGGCAGACATCAAGCTAGCTGCAGGAGTTTTTTTTCATACCCAATGGTGACTGGAACGTCAGTGAGATAGAACTTTTCATTCCTCTGGAAAGGGGGCTGGAGGCAGGGAGCCAAGTGGTCTAGCTCAGTAGATCCCACCACCATGGAGCCCAGGAAGCTAATATCCACTGGCTTGAAATTCTGGCTGCCAGCATAGGAATCTGAAGTCAATCTGGGATGTTCCAGTTTGGTGGGGGAAGGGGTGTCTGTCATTACTGAGGCTTGAGTAAGCAATTTTCCACTTGCAGTGTAAACAAGGCTCCTGGGAAGTTTGGACTGGACGGAGCTCACTGCAGCTCTGGAAATCCCCTGTTGCCAGACTGCCTCTTTAGATTCCTGCTCTCTGGGCAGTGCATCTCTGAAAGAAAAGCAGCAGCCCCAGTCAGGGGCTTATAGATAAAACTCCCATCTCCCTGGGACAGAGCACCTGAGGGAAGGGGCAGCTGTGGGCATAGCTTCAACAGACTTAAATGTTCCTGCCTGCTGGCTCTGAAAAGAGCAAAGGATCTCCCAGCACAGCACTTGACCTCTGCTAAGGGACAGACTGCCTACTCAAGTGGGTCCCAGACCCCTGTGCCTCTGGATGAGGAGACACTTCCCAGCAGGGGTTGACAGACACCTCATACAGGAGAGCTCCAGCTGGCAACTGGTGGGTGGCCCTCTGGGTTGAAGCTTCAAGAGGAAGGAGCAGGCAGCAATCTTTGCTGTTCTGCAGCCTTTGCTGGTGATACCCAGGCAAAGAGGGCCTGCAGTGGAACCCCAGAAAACTCCAGCAGACCTGCAGAAGAGGGGCCTGTTAGAAGGAAAACCAACAAACAGAAAGCAATAGCACCAACGTCAACTAAAAGGATGTCCATGCAAAAACTACATCCAAAGGTCACCAACAGCAAAGACAAAAGGTAGATAAATCCAAGAGATGAGGAAAACCCAGTGCAAAAAGGCTGAAAATTCCAAAAACCAGAATGCCTCTTCTCCAAAGGATCACAACTCCTTGCCAGCAAGGGAACAAAACTGGACATAGAATACATTTGATGAATTGACAGAAGTAGGCTTCAGAATGTGGGTAATAACAAATTCCTCTGAGCTAAAGGAGCATGTTCTAACCCAATGCAAGGAAGCTAAGTACCTTGATAAAAGGTTAGAGGAATTGCTAGCTAGAATAACCAGTTCAAAGAAGTACATAAATGACCTGGTGACGCTGAAAAACTTAACATGAGAACTTCATGAAGCATACAGAAGTATCAATAGCCAAATTGATCAAGCAGAAGAAAAGGCATCAGAGTTTGAAGATCAACTTAATGAAATAAAGCTTGAACACAAGATTAGAGAAAAAAGAATGAAAAGGAATGAGCAAAGCCTCCAAGAAATATGGGGCTATGTGAAAAGATCAAACCTATATTTGATTGGTATACCTGGAAGTGATGGGGAGAATGGAACCAAGTTGGAAAACACACTTCAGAATATTATGCAGGAGAACATCCCCAACCTCGCAAGACAGGCCAACATTCAAATTCAGGAAATACAAAGAACACCACAAAGATACTCCTCGAGAGTAACAACACCAAGACATATAATCTTCAGATTCCCCAAGGTTGAAATGAAGGAAAAAATTGTTAAGGGCAGCCAGAAAGAAAGGTCGAGTTACCCACAAAAGGAAGCCCGCCAGACTAACAGCAGATCTATCTGCAGAAACACTACAAGCCAGAAGAGAGTGGGGGCCAATATTCAACATTCTTAAAGGAAAGAATTTTCAACCTAGAATTTTATATCCAGCCAAAATAATCTTGATAAGTGAAGGAGAAATAAAATTCTTTACAGAAAAGCAAATGCTAAGGGATTTTGTCACCACCAGGCCTTCCATACAAGAGTTCCTGAAGGAAGCACTAAATATGGAAAGGAAAAACCGGTACCAGCCACTGCACAAAGAAACTAAAATATAAAGACCACTGACACTATGAAGAAACTGCATCAACTAATCAGCAAAATAACCAGATACCATCATAACACAGGATCAAATTTACGCATAACAATATTAACCTTAGGGCTTGCTTCGGCAGCACATATACTAAAATTGGAATGATACAGAGGAGAATAGCACGGCCCCTGCACAAGGATGACACTCATACAATATTAATCTTAAATCTAAATGGACGAAATGCTGCAATTAAAAGGCACAGTCTGGCAAATTGGATAAAGAGTCAACACCCATTGGTGTGCTGTATTCAGTAGACCCATCGCACATGCAAAGACACATATAGGCTCAAAATAAAAGGATGAAGGAAGATTTACCGAGCAAATGGAAAGAAAAAAAAAAAGATAGGGTTGCAATCCTAGCCTCTGATGAAAAAGAATTTAAACCAACAAAGATCAAAAAAGACTAAAAGGGACATTACATAATGGTAAAGGGATCAATGCAACAAGAAGAGCTAACTACCTTCAATATATATGCACCTAATACGGGAACACTGAGATTCATAAAGCAAGTTCTAAGAGACCTAGAAAGAGACTTAGACTCCCACACAATAATAGTGGGAGACTTTAACACGCCACTGTCAATATTAGGCAGATCAACGAGACAGAAAATTAACAAGGATATTGAAGACTTGAATGAAGCTCTGGACCAAATAAACCTAATAGATTTCTATAGACCTCTTCACCCTAAATCAACAGAATATACATTCTTCTTACCACATAGCACTTACTCTAAAATCGACCACAGCATGGGAAATAAAACACTCCTAAGCAAATTCAAAAGAAGGGAAATCATAACAAACAGTCTCTCAGACCACAGTGCAATCAAATTAGAACTCAGGATTAAGAAACCCACTCAAAACCGCAAAACTGCATGGAAACTGAACAAACTGCTCCTGAATGAATACCGGCTAAATAACGAAATTAAGGCAGAAATAAATAAGTTATTTGAAACCAAGGAGAACAAAGACATAATGTACTAGAATCTCTGGGACACAGCTAAAGCAATGTTTAGAGGGAAATTTATAGCATGAAATGCCCACAGAAGAAAGGTGGAAAGATCTAAAATCAACACCCTAACATCACGATTAAAAGAACTAGAGAAGCAAAAGCAAACAACTTCAAAGGCTAGCAGAATACAAGAAATAACTAAGATCAGAGCAGAACTGAAGGAGATAGAGACACAAAATACACTTCAAAAAATCAATGAATCCAGGACTTTGTTTTTTGAAAAGGTTAACAAAATGGACTGCTAGCCAGACTAATAAAGAAGAAAAGATAAAAGAATCAAATAGACAAAATAAAAATGATAAAGGGAGATCACCACTTAGCCCACAGAAATACAAACTACCATCAGAGAATACTATAAACACCTCTATGCAAATAAACTAGAAAATCTAGAAGAAATGGATAAATTCCTGGACACACACACCCTCCCAACACTAAACCAGGAAGAAGTAGAATCCCTGAATAGAGATATAACAAGTTCTGAAAGTGAGACAGTAATTAATAGCCTACCAACAACAAAAAAACCCAGGACCAGACGGAGTCACAGCTGAATTCTACCAGAGGTACAAAGTGGAGGTGGTACCATTCCTTCTGAAACTATTCCAAACAATAGAAAAAGAGGGATTCCTCCCTCACTCATTTTTTGAGGCCAGCATCATCCTGATACCAAAAAACTGGCAGAGACAAAACAAAAAAAGAAAATTTCAGGCCAATAACCCTGATGAACATTGATGTGAAAATCCACAATAAAATACTGGCAAACCAAATCCAGCAGCACATTACAAAACTTATCCAACACGATTTAAGTCGGCGTAATCCCTGGGATTCAAGGCTGGTTCAACATACACATAACAATAAATGTAATCCATTGCATAAACAGGACAATGACAAAAACCATGTGATTATCTCAATAGATGCAGAAAAGGCCTTCGATAAAATTCAACACCCTTTCACGCTAAAAACGCTCAATAAATTTGGTATTGATGGAACATATCTCAAAATAATAAGAGCTATTTATGACAAACACACAGCCAATATCATACTGAATGGGCAAAAGCTGGAAGCATTCCCTTTGACACCTGCACAAGATAAGGATGCCCTCTCTCACCACTCCTATTCAACATAGTATTGGAAGTTCTGGCCAGGGCAATCAGGAAAGAGAAAGAAATAAAGGGTATTCAAATAGGAAGAGAAGAAGGCAAATTATCTCTGATTGCAGATGACATGATGGTATATTTAGAAAACTTCATCACCTCAGACAAAACTCCTTAAGCTGTTAAGCAACTTCAGCAGAGTCTCAGGATACAAAATCAATGTGCAAAAATCACAAGCATTCCTATACACCAATAGTAGACAAACAGAGAGCCAAATCATGAGCAAATTCCCATTCACAATTGCTTCAAAGAGAATAAAATACCTAGGAATCAAACTTACAAGGGATGTGAAGGACCTCTTCAAGGAGAACTACAAACCACTGCTCAAGGAAATAAGAGAGGACACAAAGAAATGGAAAAACATTCCATGCTCATGGATAGGAAGAATCAATATCGTGAATATGGCCATACTGCCCAAAGTAGTTTATAGATTCAAGGCTATCCCCATCAAGCTACCATTGACTTTCTTCACAGAATTAGGAAAAAAAAAACTACTTTAAATTTCATATGGAACCAAAAAAAAAAAACCAATATAGCCAAGAAAATCCTAAGCAAAAAGAACAAAGCTGGAGGCATCATGCTACTTTACTTCAAACTACATTACAAGGCTACAGTAACCAAAACAGCATGGTGCTGGTACCAAAACAGATATATAGACCAATGGAACAGAACAGAGGCTTCAGAAATAATGCCACACATCTACAACCATCTGATCTCTGACAAACCTGACAAAAACAAGCAATGGGGAAAGAATCCCTATTTAATCAATGCTGTTGGGAAAACAGGCTAGCCATATGCGGAAAAATGAAACTGGACCTCTTCCTTACACCTATATAAACATTAACTCAAGATGGATTAAAGACTTATACGTAAGACCTAAAACCATAAAAACCCCAGAAGAAAACCTAGGTAATATCATTCAGGGTATAGGCATGGGCAAAGACTTCATGACTAAAACACCAAAAGCCATTGCAACAAAAGCCAAAATTGACAAATGGGATCTAATTAAACTAAAGAGCTTCTTCCCAGCAAAAGAAACTATCATCAGAGTGAACAGGCAACCTACAGAGTGGGAGAAAATTTTTGCAATCTTTCCATCTGACATAGGGCTGATATCCAGAATGTACAAGGAACTTAAACAAATTTTCAAGAAAAAAACAAAAAATCCCACCAAAAAGTTGGCAAAGGATATGAACAGACATTTTTCAAAAAAAGACACTTATGTGGCTAACAAGCATATGAGAAAAAGCTCATCATCATTGTTCATTAGGGAAATGCAAATCAAAACCACCATGAGTTACCATTTCATGCCAGTTAGAACAGTGATCATTAATAAGTCAGGAAACAACAGATCCTGGAGAAGATGTGGAGAAATAGGAACGCTTTTACACTGTTGGTGGGAGTCTAAATTAGTTCAACCATTGTGGAAGACAGTGTGGCAATTCCTCAAGGATCTAGAGCTAGAAATACCATTTGACCCAGCAATCCCATTACTGGATATATACCCCAAGGATTATAAATCATTCTACTGTAAAGACACATGCACACCTGTGTTTATTGCAGCACTGTTCACAATAGCAAAGACCTGGAACCAACCCAAATGCCCATCATGATAGACTGGATAAAGAAAATGAGGCACCTATACACCATGGAATACTATGCAGCCATAAAAAAGGATGAGTTCGTGTCCTTTGTAGGGACATGGATGAAGCTGGAAACCATCATTCTTAGCAAACTAATACAGGAACAGAAAACCAAACACCGCATGTTCTCACTTGTAAGTGGGAGTTGAACAATGAGAACACATGGACACAGGGAGGGGAACATCACAAACTGGGGCTTGTTGGGGGGTAGGGGCAAGGGGAGGGATATCATTAGGAGAAATACCTACTGTAGATGATGGGTTGAGGGGGTGCAGCAAACCACCATGGGACATGTATACCTACGTAGCAAACCTGCACATTCTGCATGTGTATCCCAGACCTTGAAATATAATAAAAAATAGAAAAAAAATGCAAATATTGCTCTTTGAAACATTTTAATGCTGTCTCTGTTATTGACTTAAAATAACTATTACAGATACCTTATTAGATTTTATATTTATTTCATTACATAGATATGAAATGTATGTGACAAAGACAGTAAATACTCCTTTTTGACATGTTGATGTTGGTTATCTACTTAGCTTAATGCAAGTGATCATTTGTGGGATAATTTAATCATTCCAGACATATTAACAGATTTACGGGATGATAATACCATCCTTAGTATTGTTTTGAAGAATATAGATTCATTCCAAGAAATATTAATTAAAAAGGTAACAAGATGTTCTTCTAGGCAGAGATGCAGTTTCAAAGATAATTTATGTTTGTTTGCATATGAGGAGGTCATGGTCAACATATAAGCCAATAATAAAAGTAAATGTATTCCTGGTGTATACTAGGCCCTGAATGATTATTTGTTTATTTCAGGTATGAATATTTTGGTAAAATATTCTATTTTTGACAGACAATGCTACAAGATGTAGACGTTAACATTCAGCAAGCATTTTATGAAAGAGGAATATTGAAGTGAACTTTGAAGAATTAAGAAAAAGAGATTCTATTTAGAATGTAGATAATGGGCATGAAGAAAATGAGGTGTCAAGTGATGTGATTAGACTTGAAGTGATCAAAGCAGCTAGAAAACAGAGTATAGAAGATACTTTAACGTGAATGATGAATCTTCCAAAAGCAATGACAAGGAAGAGGCTGGAGTTTAAATCTTCTTGAAAGCAGAAACTGTATCTCATTTAATGTTTTAACCTTAGTATATAGCACTGTGCCTAAGTCACATTAAGTAACATTGAGAATTCACAAACTCTGTGAAGGTACAGACAAGGAATGAAAAAAAAAATAAGAAGGAAGGAAGAAATAAGGAATACTGTGAAGTATTTGTGATATTAGGGGTCAGTATGTCATAAATGACCTTCAAAAATGAGACTGTTTGTTAGGTGAGAAGAAGCAGAAAGATTTTCAAGATTGAGAAGGAAGCTTGAAAAACACAATTATTTTTCCAGTAGAAATATTTTTAAAAGATGGTATAAATGGCCTATATTGGAGAATATCCAAAGAGACTTTCATTCGAGCGATCAAGTTTCAGTTATTGAAATGAAGTGAAATAATGATCAACAATGGAGTTCTAAATATATTATAGAATAATTAACTTTGTCTGTTTTCCAATTGAGCCCTCAGTCAGCAAAACTGTTAGCTACAATTATCATAGCCTAAGAGTTTGATTTGAATCCATACTCAGCAAATTGTTGGGTTATTCTTATTTCTCCCTGGCAAATCACATATTTACACACTACAATACCTTCATTAATTCTAAATTGACATTACAAACTCAGCTAAAAATTCAGCTTTTAAAAACACACTATTCATGGAGGTCTTGTATAAGTTTAGGTAATAATTTAACTCCTTCATCATGTGCTTATAAATTGTTTCCCAAATTCCATGATAACTTTAGTATCAATTCACAGGTGTGACACCATTTTTTATAAGTACAATATTCGCAAGGTAAATAAAATGTTTTGACATTTGGGTACTTTGACATTTTCCACTGATATTAATGATGCTATAAAATTGTCATGCAGAATGCCATTTACCCATGGGGTAATGTTTAT
This sequence comes from Homo sapiens, assembly GCF_000001405.40. Lineage (NCBI taxonomy): Eukaryota > Metazoa > Chordata > Mammalia > Primates > Hominidae > Homo > Homo sapiens. The sequence goes on from NC_000013.11 coordinate 70,465,220, forward strand.
TAATTATAAACGTTATGTAATCTGTTTTAGATGTAAAAGGTTATGTGTTCTTTTTATTTTGCATTCTGATTAAATCTAAATCAGTACACAAACAGAACCATTATAAACTCAAATGTGAACTTTAAATAGGATTTTAACCTCAGGGATTTGCAAGCCAGAAAAAAATATAAAGGCATTGAGAAAATCAGAAACACACACACACACACACACATGCACACATGTCCATATATACCCTTTTGTATATATATATACACAAATATATACTATATATGTATATGTTTATATGTAAAGCTGCTGTGTTTTTCAACATTCTATATGTATATATACATATATATGTGTGTGTGTGTATATATATATGTTTTCCATAAGCAATAGCATTGCTGTTGTGAATTCCATGCCTCACCGTATATACTGAAGGAAAAATGAAGGTGAAATTGTTCAGATTACTATCATGGGGAGTTTTACTTGAATGTGTGGTTAGATTAAATGCAAATATAAACAAAAACACCTTTCCTATGGGGCAAGAACGTAAATATTTAATGAGCCCCTTTTCAAGAAGAATTATTTGACATGATGTATTTCAATAGAGGCTGACAAACAGGCTTGAGTTGTGAACCTGACTTGAGCCAGAAGTGAACAGAGCCTCACCACTTTGGAAATACTTTTCTATAGCATTTTGAAAGTATGCAAATTAGAAAAGATTATATTTTATCTTTATATTTTCTTTAATATTCCTTTTTGTTTGCTGTGCATGAGCATTCAAGATATATTTATATTGATTAATTTCCTCACATACAATAATATTAGCTTATATTTTGGATTCATAGACTTTACTATGTTAACATGATGAGGCCCATTCATAATGTTGAGAAACACAGCAGCTTTACATATAAACTCTAAATTTGGGATTTGCTTTTTTTGTAAGCCCATGATGATGACATTTAAATTCCATGTTTATTTTTGAATGTAGGAGTCATTTATTTTGATCTCTCTCCTGTGTTTTCTGTAAAATAGAGATTGAAACATGGTTTAAAAATTATTTTTGTATTTAATCTTTCTGCTTCTGGTATTATTAAAAATGTAAAATTGCTCTATTTAGTTTCTAATAAATATAAGACATAAGCTGAAATACTTACATACATAGAGTTAAAAAAAAGTGGCCTATGAAGGAAATTTAGAAATCATCTAGAGATTATCTTAAGTAAAAGGAAAAGAAGTCCCAGAGTGAGTTGAAATTTAAAAATTAAAATATGATATTTTTAATTTTCACAATAATATTACTGATTTGACTACAGAAGAATGATGTAATACGACCTGTGTTTAATGTTATTTTTATTTTGTTTTAATTAATTAATGTATTTATTTTTTCTTTCCAAAACTTTTATTTTGGTTCGGGGGTGCATGTGCAGGTTTGTTACATGGGTAAATTGCATGTTGCAGAGGTTGAGGTTACAGATTATTTTATCACTGAAGTAATCAGCATAGTACCCAATAAGTAGTCTTTGGATCCTCACCCTTCTCCTCCCCTCCACCCTCAAGTAGGCCCTGGTGTCTATTGTTCCCTTCTTTGTATCCATGTGTACTTAATGTTTAGCGCCAATTTATAAGTGAAAACGTGGTATTTGATTTTCTGTTCCTGCATTGGTTCATTTAGAATAATTACCTTTGGCTCCATCTATGTTGCTGCAAATGATTTCATTCATTTTATGGCCACATTGTATCCCATGGAGTATATGTATCACATTTTCCTTATCCAGTCCACTATTGATGAGCATCTAGGTTGACTCCATGTGTGTGCTATTGTGAATAGTGCTGAGAATAACATATGAGCACATATGTCTTTATGGCAGAATGAATTATATTCCTTTGGGTGTATATCCAGTAATGGGATTGCTGGATTGAATGGTAGTTGTTTTAAGTTTCATAAGAAATTTCTTGACTGCTTTTCACAGTGGCTGAACTAATTTACATTCCCATCCAGTATATGATCATTCTCTTTTCTCTGCAACCTCATTAGCATCTGTTTTTTTTTTTACTTTTTAATAATGTCATTCTGACTGGTGTGAGATGCTATCTCATGATTTTGATTTGCATTTTTGTAGTGATTAGTTATGTGGGCATTTTTTCATATGATTGTTGGCCATGTGTGTGTCTTCTTTTAACAAGTGTCTGTTCATGTCCTTTGCCCATTTTTTGATGAGGTTGTTTGTTTTGTGTTTGTAAATTTAAGTTCCTTATAGATTCTGAATATTAGACCTTTGTTGAATGCATAGTTTATACATGAGAAATTGTCATTGCGGAACAGTCTGTAGTTTGTGTACTTCAAAAGACAAGCAACTAATTGAGAATATTTGTGGAAGCTAAAAAGGTAATACTAAGACAGATGCTCTTAATGTGTAGAGTAAATGAAATTTCTAATGATGAGGTTAGATTCACTTTCAAATGAGAAGCACAATTATAATATTACTGGAATGAATGTATATGTCAAAATCAACTAATAGTAACTCTGCATATAAGTCATCCATATATAGTGGTTCTGACTTTTATGATCTATTTCTACTTTTTCCAAAATTTCAAGTAAAAGAAGCTCATTAAGAAAAATTTCAACTAGAATGGCTTGAAATATACTACTCTGTCAAAAAAAGAATAAATAAGAATTATATTTGGTTAAATCTTTCAGTCCACAGATAACACTTGTGTGGCTGATGTTCAAATAATTTGGAATTTTATTTGTTTGCTTTGTTTTTTTATATATGATATCTTAGTTCTTAGTTCAAACTGTAAATTTATGTCCATTTTTGTTGCTATGTCACTATTATGGTGAGAAAACTATAAATAGAGTTTAGCAAGATTTAAGTAGCTTGCTTTTAGTTTACTATGATAACACATTGTAGAATTTATATTTAAAGCCAATTTCACTGCACTACAAAGTCTCCATTGAGTAATCTTAGCTAATTAAACAAATTAATTTTCCAGCCATAAAAGTATTCTGTATATATAGATAACCAGAAAAAGTATTATTTTGATATTATGTTTATTTATGATTCTTAGAATGAACAGATAACTAAATAACTTAATTTAAAATGAAAAATATCAGTAATTATTTAATAGTAATATTCTCTTATTTTACTCCTTATCCTTTGTTTATGCGGCTTGAAAAAAGTAATTTATCTTTACCTATTTTATCACATTCTGGATGATGTCACAAGCTGGATAATTTCACCTAGCTGTTGATAACATTATATGCTACCTTACACTTGGGGATATGCTATTGTCTACAATTTAATTACTGAGATATCACACATTTTTGATGTGTATATTCATAAATTGAACCTGTTGCCAATCATTTACTTTTTCTGCTGTGACAAAAAACTCTATTTCTACCATATGCTGCTGAAACAATTTTTCTTCCTTGTTGGCTTTAGGATTTTAGGAAGTTGTCTTTATTGTTTGTCATTGTTAGCAAACACACTTGAAAACATTGCTATTTGTCGTTTGCGTAAGACATAAAAAAGCCTTACTGGTTAGAAGCTCTTATTCTAGGAAATAATAATTAAAAATGATAGAGAAGCTAAAATTGGCTTTAGTTTGGTTTCCTTGTTCCTAAATAAATTTCATTTAAATCTTTATTAAAGGCTTATATAACATTCCGTTTAAACCAAATCCCATCTATTGTGACAAATTCAAGCTAAATGTTTCATAAAATGGAACAACTTTTATCAAAAACAGCTTTCATTCAGTGTTATAATAGTTGAAATAGTTGTGGAATATTTTGATGCACTCCAACCCAAAACACTTCAAGTTTTAGCAATCTGGCTCTAGGAGGTAATACATAAAATTAGTGTTTTTAACAATCTGACTTCAGGAGGGAATACATAAATTTAACTAGAGTTTTTAACATTTCTCATCAATAAATAACCAGATAACGATAATATTCATTGCCTCAGGGTGACAAAATTGTAAAGAACTGTTATTGCTTTCTCTGTCTTATTTTAGATATGTGTGAGATCATTAGCCTCTGAGGCCTTGATACAGAAACTAATGAGGCTACTGAGTCATAGAATTTATAGCTTGTTCAGATAGTGCATGATATCATCTAATCTTACCTACTAAATTCACTACTCTAGTGAGTAATTCTCAGGATAGTCATATAATAGAATTGTATCTGACTTCAAAATAAGCGTATGAATTTAACTGCTAATATATATTATGGCGCTCTTCCTAACAAAATTTGAGAATTTAGGGGATAAAAATAAAGCTACATTCCTTCAATTAAATACCCTAGTCTTTCTTACTTGACAGATGACAAAATGGCCATTCTAACAAGGTTAATATTAAATGAAAGTACTAGTATTTCAAATAGTCTTTTAGAATAGTAGTTTGCCTGAAATATCAAACACAGCAAGCTATGTATAAGGGTTAAAACCAACTATGAAGGAATCTTTTCAATATACTAAAACTGAAGAAAGAGCTATGGTATGATTGGTTCCTAGATAATCTTGTATTTGTCATATCAAACTCCCGAGAGTAATACTGGTACATCTATTGCTAGCTGTTCTTGTCACTCACTAGAGTATACACAGAGAACAGAAATGTTTAACTTAAAAGCAGAAATAACTATTTAAATTTGATACTTGAGACTTCTTTTTAACACCGCATGTTCTCACTCATAGGTGGGAATTGAACAATGAGAACACATGGACACAGGAAGGGGAACATCACACACCAGGGCCTGTTGTGGGGTGGGAGGAGGGGGGAGGGATAGCATTAGGAGATATACCTAATGTTAAATGACGAGTTACTGGGTGCAGTACACCAACATGACACGTGTATACATATGTAACTAACCTGCATGTTGTGCACTTGTACCGTAAAACTTAAAGTATAAAAAAAAAAAAGAGACTTCTTTTTAGAATAGACTTATTGCTTGGCATAATATGTTCTAAATAACCACAATAAGCTTGTTTGTATTTAACTTGCCATTCTGTTTGCTCAAATAAGATGACTTAACAAAAAACCCCAGTGATGGTTCTGCCTCAGTTTATTAAGATGCTATCATGTTAGTTCCACATAGAACTAATTTTTGTTTTTATTCTGTCTGGCTATATTGAGGAATAGTGAGTACACATCCCTAGGAAACTCATTATGGTAGTTACTGTAGAAGCATTGTTGAAGATGCCACACATTAATTGGCATGGTGTTCTCTTTATGTTGACTCTGGAGAGCTATGTTTCTTACGTTTCAAGGATGGGAAAATCTTAATTTCTCTTGAATTTTGTTTTAATCTTATGCTCACTTCTAATATGAATTTTGTACTTTAGCATGTGCTGTTACTCAGTTTTCTATTTTCATATTTTCTTTGAGCAACTATGAGCATTTCAGACTTTTTTATAATTTAAAATTTATATCAAAATAATTATGAGGTAGATAGTATAATTTTTTTCAACTCCAGCATTGTGGTCTGAATATAGCAGCAAAATTAATAAATACATAGTCATTTTACATGTGAAGTTCTCAAAGGTTAATTTTTATTTCATTCACGATAAAATTCAGACCAATTTTTTTTAAATGTAATAATTTTTATGGTCACCCCAGCTATGGAGTTTCATAGCCTTCTTGAGTTGTCCAATTAAATAGCTCATTACAAGAATAGAAATAAACAAACACCACTGTAGTTAATGGGAAATGGGAATTTAAATAAGCTTATCTTCTGAATTTATATGACTTTGGGATTTAGAGTGCCTTTTAATATTCAGTTTTTTTTAATATACAACATATAAATAATGATAATCTGCCAGCCCTGGTTGTCATAGAACAAGATAGCAATATAAAAGAAATTTACTAAAAGTAAGGTAATATTCAAACCATCTATCAAAAACAACATTTCAAAGGACTATGGCTAGCCACTGTGCTAAGATATGCTGGATATACATTGGTGAACAGACATAATTCATGCAATTGGAATTAAGAGAATAGTGAAAGCAGATGGTACATAATCATATCATTAAATCTTTAATTACAACTTGTGATAAATGACAGAAAAATGAGGTGCTACAGATTGGATGGCTACGATATGCCCCTCTGAGAAAAATGGCCCAAAGATGGATACCTAGAAAAGGAGAAATAATTAAAAATGTGACTATTATAGGTGACAGTAATCAAGTGCACAAGGTTCCCAGATGGAAAAAGAACTTGTCCTCTGTAAGGAATCGATACAAAGGCCAAAGTAAGGGAGGCAAAACTTGGAGTCTGATGAAATTAGTGGCATATGGGTGCATTATCTTCATCACAAGGCCTTACAGTTTGTGTTAATGATTTCAGATTTACCTCTAAGAGGATGTGAAGCCATTGAGATGTTTTAATTTGAAGTGGAATTATCAGATTTATGTTTTTAAAGATTGTTCTTGCTACAGTGAAAGAATGAATTGAGTAAAGCAAATGTGAAAACACGGAGATCAGCTAAGGATATATTGCAATTACTCAGACCAAAAACAATGGTTTCTGCACTAGGGTGATGACACTGGATGCCAAGTTATATGTTTTTACTCTTAATTTTATAAGAGGATAGAAGTGGACCTTCATGAGGACACAGTGAATATTAGTGACTAAGAAGAAAAGGTCATCAAAATTGATTTCATATTATTGTCCTAATTAACTCCATAGATTCTGAAAAGCGATGTAGAAATGAACATAACTAAAATTAAAATAGAAAATCATTATATAATGGATCACACTTGGCCTGATTTTTCAGACTTAAATGTGACAAATTTTCTAAAGCAAGTTTTACTTTTAAGTGTCTTGTTTGGAAATACCGTTTCCTATATATTGAGCACTGCTGCTGAATTACATTATAGATTTTCTTGGTGCCTAAATTCATCAAAGTGAAGTATTTTATTATACTCTCAATGTCACCTGGAAAAGAGAACTACTGAAGAGTCCAGTAAGCAATGTTGCTCTGTGGATGGGGTTAAGCGAATGACTTGGCTTATGACACCTTCGACTTTGTACATACTTACACACAAAAATCAGCTTACACAGCAGTGTTTAGAAAAACAGCAAGAATAGCAATAAACCATGGCTGGAATTGGCATTTATTATGCCATAACATAAGCCTCGGCATGGAAAAAAAGTAAAAAGAAGAATTTTCCTTAAAAATTAAGAACTTAGAAAAAGAACAACAAAATAAAGGAAACAGAAAGAAATCTATTCAGTATAAAATACATTTATTTATGAGTAGAAAACAGAGCACTTAGAAATAACAAGCCATATCTCACTAACCTAATTTTAAAAATATTAATATATAAATCATTAATATACAAAATATGAACTAAAAGAATAATCATCAAAAGAGAAAAACTTAAAATACTCAGTATATTAGTTTAACATCTTCATATAAATATTTTTGAAGAAACTGATAACTCTTTAGGAAACTATAATTTATTAATATTACCCCAGTTAAAAAAAAAAACTCTTAAGAGTTAATTCCACAGAAAACAAATAGAGAATGTTATCAAAGATCCCTCAAAAAATGATTTTACAAAAAATATGCCAAATTTCAAACCAAGCAATCTAAAGGATACTTAAAGGAATAGAAAAACCAAATTTAACTTTACTGCTTTCACCTTATAAAGACTGTACACACACACATACACACTAAACATCCTAAGCATTCACTTCACTTACGTATAGTAAATGCAAAAGTTCTAAACAAAATACTAGCAAGCAGAAGATAATATCAAATCAACAAAAATACGACATGACCAACGGTTCATTTCAGTAATGAAAGGATGTTTAAAAGTTACTTACAGTTCTTGTTACACGTTTTTTCTAACCAAGACATTTTTAAAAGTGAAAGAATTGCTTATAAATTATATCAGGCATTAGCACAAAAGACATACACTGGGTTGGTTTTGAGGAAACTAGAAGTTTCTCTTTCTTCACAATATGTGCCATGTATTATATTTGTAATTTATATGTAATGGTAGAATTTCCTTTTTTTAACAGCTACTGCCCAGGCTGGATTTTAAACTTCATAACAAGGACTTTGACTGTTCCACTCACAGTTGTGGTCACTAATCTAGTTACTGGCATATAGTAATGTTAAATTAAAATTTGTTGTATGAATGAAGTAATTCATTATTAACTTGTGGTTATCTTTCAGGTTATCAATCTGATCACAAAATATATGCATGTGCATTCCTTTGTCTGTACATCCAGAGTCAAAATGTGAACAAATATTCTGATTTTATTCTTAAATATCTTAAATGTAATAACAGACTGATAATTCAAAATAAAGGGAAAAATAACTTATAAACATTTCTAGTTTCCAGAATTTTTAAATGCCTGAAACAGAGTAGCTTAGCAAATAAGTTAGTGTACCCTTTAACATCTTAGTCTGGAGTTCTTTCTTACAAAAGCATAAAAATTCCTAGGTCATTTTAAGAAACTCTACTAACTAGATAGATAGTTTCTAAATTATAGTTTCCAAGTGAAGTAATATTACAACATGAGTGAAAAAATGTTACAATTTAAAGATAATATATTAAACTCTTCTATAATTTATTTTTAATATTTGCTGAATTTATAAAAATTTTATAAAGCTTTATACTCCATAACAAACTACAGAAATATTATCTACACAGAAATTGAGATAATTAATTTAGGACATTATTGGGACAATTTCTTCTCTGTTATTTTCATTGAAAGAATTATCTCATATAATAACTGACATTTACTAAGACTTATATCCTCACCAGATTGTGTAACGGAAATGGTATTGACTTTGCAGTTAGAAGAACTTGACTGTATCACAAACCAGCATTAGGAGGCAAGATACCCTTGTGATTTCATCACTATCTGGAAAGCTACTATGAAACTTTGCAGTTTATTGTGAAGACAGTATGTATTAGTACCATAAAAACAGAAGTGTTGACAGGATGATGTAATATAAGTGAAAGTACCGATAGAGCAGATAAAATACCCCCACGTGTTATCTCCCTTCCTTTTTTCCATCCTTCATTCATTTGAGTGGTAGAATCATATTTATTAATCATGCTTATTATTAAGAAAAAGTTCTTTGTGGTGCTTTAGTAAGGATTTATCTTCAAACTAAAGTTTACCTTGTCCAATTGCAATGCTGGCAATATTAATATATAGAAAAATGAAATTGATAATAGTATCGAATAATCATTATGCGCAGGTTTACCAGACAGCTACTAAAACAATAAAATGACATTTATATTAATTCCGTAAGGTTATAGAAATTAACTTCTTTACAGGGTCCCCAGCTACTTCTGCAGGTCTCCCATGGTTGGGTGCATGGATCTTTAGGGCAGATTTTTCAATTTCCTGCTCCAACCTCATTCTAAAACTACAAAGTCTTCTATTTTTTCATCAGTGATCTTAGTGATATAGTTTTTTCATTGTATTTAGGAATAATTCTAATGTAAACATCATTGGATAAAAATGAGAGTAATAATAATAACAAAATAATGATAGTTATTATTCTGCAGCACAGCACTACACTATCTTCCATTATTTCATTTGCTATGCTGACAGATAAGGAAAGCTTTTGTAAAATTTTCATAGCCTTAAATCTCCCTGATTTCATATAATGATATGTGAAAGAGCCAGAATTGAACAGATGTTTTTCCCAACGCTAAAGCACTTGACAAAAAATATTTTTTTTTAAAAAAAGCAAAACAAAGGCCAAAATAAAACAAAACAAAAACCTGAACTTTAGGATAATATTCGAGAATAGAAAAGGCCAGAATTCTAGGGAATAGAAACTGGTTTTCAATGTGATCCAGAGGAAAGCATGGTCAGGGAATAATATATTCTAGAATGAGAAGAGATAAAAAGTCAGTTATAGACAAAGACGAAAATGTAAATACACTCTCAGGGATAAGTGTTGGTAAGTAATTTAAATGGTCAGTAAATATGTGTGCTTAAGACACAGGAAAGTGAACTTAAATGGCAATATGTGGAAATAAATTCATAAGGCATATTCAAAAAGGTCAAAATCTGAATATCAAGGTCTTTTGCATTTTTCATGCATATTTATGCTATCCTTGAAAAAATAAGCTAAGTCTTTTGATTTAAAAATAGGTTTGGACTGAGGATGAGTCAGAAGAGATTTATTATATTTCTTTCTGGATTTAGATATATTCTCATATTTTAAATTTTTAAACAAGCCTTTTTATTTTAATATTCCCATGGAAGTCTATTTTTGCATCGAAAATCTTTGGAAAATAACTAGAAAATGCCTTGCTATAGAATATTTCATCTACTTCTGTTGATTTTAGCACTATTTAAAAATATAAGGATCCAGAATAATGTTTATCCCAGAACTGATTATCAAGAGCTGTCATTGTAAACTGGAGTTTCTCAGCACAAAAGATATGCTAACATAATTCTCAGACCTTATGCAGTCACATACAATGCTACCTACAGTTTAAAAAATCCTAAGTGATTGTCTTTAAAATCCTGGCATCTAGGTTTCTTTTACATGTTCCCTAAAAATTAAACTTCATGGTGAATACCATTATCTTTGCAATGGTCATTTAAAAAGACAGTACTGTATTTTTCACTTCAGAACACTTAGGAAATATGAAGAAGAGTGAGAGATAAAAGCTAACTCTACAAAACCAGTAAGATTTTTCCAGATTCATTCATATATTTTTGTTACTAAATATTGTTAGATATATCATATAACATAATTATAGAAATGTAAGAGGTTTCATGGAAAAAAGAGGATCACAAAGGTAAAACGTGTACTTTTGAAGATAAAAGAGTAAGTTTCTGGCAAATGAAACCCAAACCCTTTAACACTGGGAGCTTCATTCAAACCTCACAACTATAATTTTCTCCACTGATTTGAACTTTTTTTTGGTGACTTTGTTTGTTTGCTTGTTTGTTTGTTTTCAGAGACACGGTCTCGTCCTGTTGTCCAGGCTAAAGTGCAATGTGGGATCATGGCTCACTGCAGAGCCAACCTCCTGGGATCAAGAAATCCTCCCACCTCAGCCTGCTGAGTAGCTGAAGCTGGAACCACAGGTATACGTCACACACCTGGATAATTTCCTTCTTCTTTTTTTTTTTTTTTTGTAGAAATGGGGTTTCATTATGGTGCCCTGGCTGGTCTTGAACTCCTGGCCTCAAGCAATGCTCTCACCTCAGCCTCCCACAGTGCTGGAATTATAGGTGTGAACAACTGTACCCAGCTAACTTACACTTAATTTTTTTTATTTAATGAAGTTTTATTACAATTAGTAATAAAATAAACTAATGCTTACTGTAAACTTTTTACAACTTGTTATCTCACATTTTAGGTAATAATAATACCAAAGACACATAACAATGAACAAAAATCTGAGTATACCTTTGCGTTACTTGAGCTTAGCTCCCTCCAAACTCACCAGAATATATTTTAAAATAGAAAATCAAACAGTTTTCTTATGGTTAAAGCATATGTTCAGCTAGAATTAATTGAATTATCTTAGCTGTTTATCCTTAAACTCAGTGACACAGCATATAAAAAACCAGAATATTATCTCCTGATTACTTCTCTTTCTATTATATGCATTTTTGTTGTTGTTTTTTGTTTGTTTGTTTGTTTGTTTTTTTGATGGAGTCTCATTCTGTTGCCCAGGCTGGAGCGTGGCGGTGCAATCTTGGCTTACTACAACCTCCGCGCCCTGGGTTCAAGCCATTCTCCTGCCTCAGCCTCCTAAGTAGCTGGGATTATAGGTGCCTGCCACCACTCCCAGCTAATTTTTCTATTTTTAGTAGAGACAAGGTTTCACCATCTTGGCCAGGCTGGTCTTGAACTCTTGAGCTCGTGATCCACCTGCCGTAGCCTACCAAAGTGCTGGGATTACAGGCGTGAGCCACCACGCCCAGCTGAACTGTGTTAGGTAAAGAATATTTTATGAGTGGTAAATCTGTTAATAATCATAGAAAATAATTAATCCTAATGGATCAGAGAGGTATTGAGATGTTTTCTTCCTGAAAGATGGGTTTCAACCTTCCTTTTCAACTATCAGTCTTTTTTCTTTTCTTTTCTTTTTCTTTTTTGAGATGGGGGTCTCACTTTGTTGGCCAGGCTGGAGTGCAGTGGTGCAACCTTGTACCTTGGCTCACTACAACCTCTGCCTCCCAGGTTCAAGTGATTCTTGTGCCTCAGCCTCCCAAGTAGCTGGGATTACAGGTGTGTAACACCACACCCAGCCAATTTTTGTAATTTTAGTAGAGATGGGGTGTCACCATGTTGGCCAGGCTGGTCTCAAACTGCTGACCTCAAGTGATCCTTCTCCCTGGGCCTCTCAAAGTGCTGAAATTATAGGCCTGAGCCACCACACCCAGCCAACTATGTCTTTCTACATCTTTCCATCAACGCAATGCCCAGAGGAAAATAATCATCAAGACTATGGTTTGCCATTGCATTCTTATAATACTTGGGACTCTGAGGACAAGTTTAAATATTCAAAATTAAGTGGTGTACTTATGTAATTATTTTACAGGTGAATAATTTAAGTAAAGGTAAATTTGAATATCATCTATGAATGAGCTTATTATAAAAACATTATTTAATAGAGTTAAAATGCTTCGATCTATTTTGATATTACTTATTTAAAAGTCCATATTTTTGAGTTGGGACTCACAGGTTCTGTTGTTAAAATAATGTTGGGAAATTTCCAGTAATCTGAAGAGGCAAAATATTTGTCCTCAATAACATTTGTTATAATTTATTTAACTACATATTATGAACAGCATACTAGTTAATATAATGCTAGCTGCTGTGACAAATAAACTCCAAAATCTCATAAAGTCCCACAACTGATGGCAGAGACGGAAAGTAGGCTGGACTCAATCACTAATATTGGGGACCCAGAATAACAAGAGCTTCCATCATCTACACATCCTTACACCTTGTGCTATCAGCATCTCACCAGGAAGAATTGAGAAGAAAATGCTCCCTAAGGCTGGGCGTGGTGGCTCACGCCTGTAATCCCAGAACTTTGGGAGGCTGAGGTGGGCAGATCACATGAGGTCAGGAGTTCGAGACCAGCCTGGCCAACATGGTGAAACCCCATCTCTACTAAAAATACAAAAATTAGTTAGGCGTGGTGGCAGGCATGTGTAATCCCAGCTACTTGGGAGGCTGAGGTAGGAGGATCACTGGAACCTGGGAGGTGGAAGTTGCATTGAGCTGAGACTGCGCCATTGCACTCCAGCCTGGGCAACAAGAACAAAACTCCATCTCAAAAAAAGGAAAAGAAAATGCTCCCTAAGATCAAGCTGTAAAGATTGAGCCAGGTCTGGAAGTATAATGCATCATCTTGACCTACACCACTGACCAGAACTTCACCATGTGAAAGGCAGGAAGGAAAACAATTACTTATTCTAAGCTAGACTCAACTGTTTGATCAGTCTAACTGGAGGCAGAAGATTGCCCAACCAGGAATTTATTTGAATGTTGAGATACATGTCATTAAGACACTCACCTATAACCACGCATAAAGTGTGTTTAATACTTATAACAAGCCTGAAAGTCCCAGAAAGGGAAGGAGGGAAGGGCTCAAGCAGGGCTCTAGTGAGAAGGTCAGTAAAGGGTGGGACTTGTTTGCGGCTTTTGTTTTGGTCTGGGTGCAGCCAGGGTAGGGATGTCCTGCCCTTGGGCTAGAAGCTGTGCTGCTTGATATCCCCACCTTTCTACAGAGGCAAAAGGTGAGAGGGCCTTCTTAGTCACTCTGATGTGCACTCTGGGAAGAAGAATGAGGATTGAAAAACCATCAATTCCCAAACATCAAAAATGGAATTGGACTTTTTTTTTTTTTTTTTTTTTTGATGGAGTCTCGCTTTGTCGCCAGGTTGGAGTGCAGTGGCGTGATCTCGCCTCACTGCAATCTCCACCTCTCGAGTAGCTGAGATTACAGGCGCGTGCCACCACACCCAGCTCATTTTTGTATTTTTTCAGTAGAGACGTGGTTTCACCATGTTGGCCAGGATGGTCTCGATCTCCTGACCTTGTGATCCGCCCACGTCGGCCTCCCCAAGTGCTGAGATTACAGGCTTGAGCCACAGCGCCCGGCCGGAATTGATCTTTTTTTTTTTTTTTTCTTTAGAGATGAAGTCTTGCTCTGTCGCCAGACTGGAATGCAATGGCGTGATCTCAACTCACTGAAAACTCTGCCTCCCAGGTTCAAGCGATTCCCCTGCTTCAGCCTCCCAAGTAGCTGGGATTACAGGCATGCGCCACCAGGCCCGGCTAATTTTTTGTATTTTAGTAGAGATGGAGTTTCACCAAGCAGGCCAGGATGGTCTCTATCTCCTGACTTCGTGATAATCCGCCCGCCTTGGCCTCCCAAAGTAGTGGGATTACAGGTGTAAGCCCCTGCGCCCGGCCAGAATTGGCCTTTTTAATGCACTAGGCTATAACTACCCGAACAGCAGCCAGTTTAGATAACTTTGATAGACAAAGTAAAAATAAAAAATGTATAGTTTTCTTAAAACAAAGTCACAAGTAAAAAAGAGTGGTCTCTAACTTCCCTGTTCATCAGTCATGCTTAGCAATATGAAGCTTTTAGAATATCCCATAATGACGTTTGCCTAAGAATTTGCACATGACCTACATATGTTTCTTCAGTTTACAATGTACTCTTCAGAATACTTTCAGACCTACCCCCAATCCTAGCCTGGTGTTTGTGTACCTAGTGATAAAGCTTATAAGAAATGTGTAAGATTTGTACTCTAGAAAGATAAAACTCTGTTAAAAGATTTAAAAGAATGCTGAATAAATTTGAAAAATCTACAAATGTTATTGGATAAGATTCAATATTTTAAATATGTATTTCTACTTAAATACTAATTCAATGCTAAACCAAAAAAAAATCTTAAAAGAGCATATTTTTATATGTGGTGAACAAAATTCTATAGACCACTTGCAAACTACACCCAGAATTATCCTTAAAAGATAAAGAATAATTGTCCAGAGTCAAGATAAAGTTTTCTTTTTAATGTTACTGGGAATAGACCAAACAATTATAATACAGAGATTTCACCAAGATACAGGGAATGGCTATTTTAAAAGCTTTTGTAAATCAGTTCCCATGCTCTAGAAGATATTTAGCAATATGTATTAGCAAGTTATAACCCTTTCTCCAGCAAATCTATTTACTTCAGAAATGGTGGAGGGAAAATATTGACACTAAGATATTAATTTCAGTGTTTTCTACCAAAGTGAGTATTTGGGAACAATTTTGTAGTTCTGTCATTAGGAATTTAAGTAAATGGGTGATATATATAATAGATATCATACAGTCACTAAAAATGAGATTGTTTACTTGTAATTATATTTAAATTAAAGGTACTTTTGGAAATATCTTTGAAAGAAAAATGTATAAGAGAGCACTTTATAAGTACAGACTATTGTATACAATTTATTATGCATACTACTATATTTTAATCTTAGCATAGAATTAGCTCACATATGTCATTGATTATTTCCCTGTAGTAGGATTTTGCCTGAGTTTTACTTTCTTCTCTTGGCACCTCTGTGTCACAGAACTATTTATGTAACCATTATGTGCTTTAGTTTTATCATCTGTCAAGTTAGAATACTGATATAATAATAAAATTTAAATCATAGGATTAGGACATTACCTTCTATGAATATTAGCTCTTAATGTTATAGCTTTGTAGCAAGTTTTTTACACTGGACACATATCATTTCTAATAATCAAAAAGCTATTTTACAGAAGTAAAATATGAAATTGATTTAAAAATCTGAAGAAAAAGAAATTCAGCTTGAATATATACTTTTAAACTTTTACTTTAGGTTAGGGGTACATGTGAAGGTTTGTTACATAGGTACACTTGTGTCACAGGAGTTTGTTGTACAGGTTGTTTCGTAACCCAGGTATTAAGCCCAATACCCAATAGTTATCTTTTCTGCCCCTCTCCCTCCTCCCACCCTCCACCCTCCACCCTCAAGTAAACACCAGTATCTATTGTTTCCTTCTTTGTGTTCATAAGTTCTCATGATTTAGCTCCCACTTGTTAATAAGAACATGCAGTGTTTGGTTTTAATATAATTTATTTTATGAAGCCTTTTCTAATCTCTCTGAGTATTCCTATACCCTGAACTATGAATGAGTCTCTGTCATCTGAGATGGGATAAGAAAAATTGAACCTAGTAAGTGTAGAGAGTCCCTTATAAACCAGTCACTCTGCTAAGCATGCTTGCATTATCATATTTAGTCTTCAAAGCAACTCTATCACATAGGTTTTATTATCATTTCACAGATGAGGAATCACATGTGTATTTGGATATCTTTTTGGATTTTGACTCCGATCTTTTTGACTTTGGAAGCAAGTTTCCAAGTTTTAGCACCTGTACCTACTGGGCACAGAGTAGGTATTAAATGTTTAATGAATAGCTAAACTGACTAAATGTATGCATTCCACCATAATATTGAAGGGAGCATGAGCATCTGAATATTTGTATTGTGTTCCCCTAAATTCCACAATGCCTATCTTTTGGTTTCTCTCTTTCAGCAGAACTTGAGTACAATTAATTTATTTGAAAGAATATGCTACTGGTGCATGCAAAGGAAGAAGAGTTCACAAAGAACAATCAGATTGAAAGGGATGAACTTTTCAAATTCCACCCTCCACATAACAAAACACATAAAATAGTTTTACTAGTTACAGAATTCAGGCCACTTGGAGAATATACTTGGGGAAGGAAAGACAAGGATTTCCAGGTTAGGCTCACCTACAGGTCTGGAGTCATGGGGGAAAGTATGGCCAGGGTGCATTCTTTAGCTGCAAGCTTCCATGTTCTGCGTAACACTCTTTCAACTCCCCTTGTATGCAGTGAACTTTATCTGTCCTTATCTTTCTATCCTTTTCTCTTCTCTTTGTTTTTTACCTTTTCTATTCCCAAACACAACTTTTTTTAGATCTCTAGATGTAAGATCTTTTCTAAGAATCTAGAAAAAAACTAAAAATATTAGCTTTATCTATTTGTTTCATTAGTTTATGATTTGTTCTCAAGTCTCCTCTTACTCAGGCTCTAGTTCTGTTATGTGCTACAGCAGGTGTGGCAGGCTAGTATTTAGATGGTATTCAACAGAGTTCATTGTTCTCAAAATTTTCTGTTTTCTATCCACTATTAAGGAGCCAATAAGCTGTATATTAATTGTCTTAGGAAAGGAGTTCATTTAGGAAATGAAAGAAAGAAAAGGAGTAGGAAAGATTAGAGGGAAGCAGACAAAAAAAAGGAGAAGAAATAAGACAGGAGGAAAAATAAGAAAGGTGGAAAGAAGAAACAAGAAATGACCCTGGGATCTTTAAGGAAATTATAATAGATATTTAGTATCAGAAGAAATGGAAAGGAGATGCAAATGATAAGACTGGTACATTTCATAAGGAGATTTCCTTGTTTTAGTTCTTGGACAAAATTTTTGTAAAGCAGCAACCCACTTCCTATCCCTGACTTCCACAAAAAGTCATCTTTAGATTGTTCGTCTATGCTTATGAGAGATTTCAATTCTGTAGCATGACAGAAGCAACACAAGGTTAATCATACCCCATAGATATTTTGGAGAAGCCAGAAGAAAAGAAAAGAGACTGAAAGAAGCCAGGAGATGCAAATGAAGCAACTTAACATCTTACTTCTGTGAACTGATGACTTGGACTAGCACATCATCACATCCTCACTCCCCTAAACACTGTCTTAACAAAAAAAGGATCTAAATCTATATTAATTTGACTTCTCTAAAAACTAAAAGATGTTGTATATGCTGCATAGTTGAGAATCATACCCAGTTAACCTTTAAAAATGATGTAGTAAGTTTGAGGAACCCAGAAGCAAAGGCTTTGCTAGGCAGAGAAGTGGAAGAGTACAAGAAATTAACACCACCTGTAAGGTTCAAAGTGTTATCTCCCTTGGCTAGCAGAGTGTTCCTTTATAAAGAAGCTACTCTTTGATTAATAGACTTATTGAATCAGGTGAACTAACATAGTTTTAGTAATTAAAGAATTGCAAAATGTTCCAAGAAAAAAAAACAGACATTTGTAATTATAACAACTCTAGTAGCATTGCAGGAGTATTTATCAGTTCTTGTAGTCAGTATGTTGACCTCAGAACCCCTGAATGTTACCCAAATAACTAAATACATGGCTTATTTTAGGAAACTTACTGTACTTTATTCTGATTGCTCTCATTTTGACTAATTTTTAGAGATGTCTTCCTGGTGAAGTCACTCAAATGTAGATAGATCTTCTGTTGATAGGGAGGTACTTCCTTAAAAACTATTTTTTGAGCAATGGTATAACTTGTCTTGGCTAAATAAAATATATTTTTCCTGTTTTAAAGAAAGAGATGATTCAAAGCTTTGAAACTGTTTGACCTTTCTGCTTCAATTCCTGACCTAAATGACAGTTTGAGGAAAAATATTGTGCTTAATTCATGAAAGGACAACAACAATACTGTTGTTATAAAAAATGATATATATATATATATTTGCTTGAGGCCTTTTAGTTGTTTAATAATAAAATAAATATAAAATATAAAAATAAATATAAAATAAAATAAAAATAATAAAATAAAAAAGTTGTTTAATAATAAAAAAGAGAACATTTTAAAATATATTAATACCTAATCCAACACAAAATGTAAAATCCTGCAGTTAATGTCAGCAAATGTGCTATATTCCTGTAACTGTGTATCACACATTTTTTGCATATTTTCAGATCCCAAGCTGGGATACATTTTATAGTCAGTGGCATCTTCCAGTAGTTTTTGTCTAGGTAACAGTTATGAAGTAGATATCGATGATTGCACAACTTTCCAAAACTGCAAACATCAAGACACTCAGAATGAATATCAGTGACTTTGAGCAAAATCTCCAAGACAATAGCAGAGCATTAACTGCAGGGAGAAAAATAGTCTGAGGAGGAAGAGATGGAAGTGGTGATACAGAAATCCATTTAAAAATATTCCTGAAACAAGAATCAAAAGTTGTCCTGCTCTATATAAGTCCTAATGAGCTTGAGAATGCAGTTCAATGGCTACTAGTTCTTTACAGATTCCATAAATTGTCACATCAATGTTCTTGATGGAACTGTCTTGTGTGGAAAAAAATTGACCTCAATGACTCAGAGTAGCAGTGTTTCAGAAGCATTTGACTCTAAATGTAAAATACCTTAGGAAATATCCAACTTATTTTGCTTATATGTTTCTGTTTTGATGGGTTTTTTGGATAATATCAAATCTGCATTTAAGTAAGTATAACTTATTGAATAACATTATAACATATAATATGATAAATTATAGATGATAGCATTGCATCAGGTTTTTTTTCTACTTAGTGCTGTATCAATAATGAACCTTCCTAGAACTGATTGTGTCTTAGATTTGATGAAATATAAATCACATGTCTCTCTAGAAGACAGATAGACTTAGATTAACATTAGGATGGCTCTGTGTATATTTATACTATTTAAATGCATTTAAGTAGACAATATATTTTAATAAAGTATACTTGATAGCCTTCCTTAAATTATTTGGCGATTTTCGATATGTGTTTTAAACATCCTCTGTGGATGAATAAATTCAGAGTTCTAATGTACAAGATGAAGACAGTAGTTAATAATATTGTATTGTATACTGGAAATCTGCTCAGAAAGTAAATTTTCAGTACTCTTTATCACACTCAATAAAAGAAAGGTAACTATGTGAGATGAAGGATATGTTAATTTGCTTGACTACAGTAATCAGCTCACTATGCAAGATGGGAAGACCTCGTCTCTACAAAAAAATTTTCAGAAAAATTAGCAGGGTGTGGTGGTGCATGTCTATAGTCCCAGGTACTCGGGAGGCTGAGGGCGGAGGATCTCGAGCCCCGGAACTCGAGACTTCAGTGAGCTGTGATGGAGCCACCGTACTCCAACCTGGGTGGCAGAGCAAGACCCTATCTCTGAAAACAAAACAAACAAACAAAAAAATTATCATGTTGTACAATTGAAATACACACACTAAAACATTACTGTACACTAAAAAATAAAAATAAATACAATTCCTCTTTGGTTTATTACACTACAAACATTATAATAGCAATTAAAAAATTAAACTACACGTATTTTAAAGTAGACCTGCAACTACCGAGAACTAAGTATATTTTATGGGTTTACCCAGAGCCTGTTTTGCCTAACCACATATTGATTCATTAAGAAAGATTGATTCCAAAATGAATCCAATTCAAATGTATTGAGCATCTGCTATGCTTGACATTGTGCTAAGGATTAAGAATACACAGATGAATATATAGCACATAGTGCCTGATTTAAAACACACATACACACACACACAAATTGGAAATGGAAACAGTGTGTATCTCCCCATATTTCAGTGTGATAGAGTGATTTACCAACTGGTCATGAATAAGATGCTGTTCATCATTAGATACAGAAATATAAAATTTGCTTCAAGGAGAGAGAGTTAGTGAGAACTCGAAAGACTCAAAAGGGGATGTTACCATGAAGTTGGCCTTGAATGATGAGTTGAAATTGACTCCATTCACCAAAATGGTCATGCTTGTAATGAACATGAATATAAGCAAGCATGCATGTTTAAGAAACAATTCATGTGACTAGCACACAGGATACAAATCAAGGATGCTATACCTGTGGCTAGAAAGTGCTCGCATTTTAAAAGAACCTGAATTAGGATCTTTAAACATATTCCTCAGTGTCCTTAATGGAAATTCTTGTTAAATAGAGGCATTTTATAAGAAGCATTATATTTTATGTATATATGTGTGTTTGTACATATGTGTGAATTTATTTTTAATACAGTTTTACTTCTTCTCATCAGACGTCTTGTAGTAAAACCATAAAAATATACCACTTTACACTCATTAATTTTGCAAATACTAGAAAGTCTATAATACCTCATATTGGGGAGTATGTTCAGCACAAAAACATTTGAGAACTGATATTTGTTAAGTAAATATTCACTTGGGAAAATAATTTGAAATCATATAGTGAAATTAAAAGTATAGGTTTATTAAACATAAAATGCTATGTTTTTATTTATTGTGGTAAGAACACTTTTTAAATGGTCATGCTTAACTGAAATTCTGAGGACTCCGTAAGAAGAGAGTGAAACCTAGAGTCTATATATCAAGTTAGAAATTTATTGCAACAGTTCATGTAGGAGATATCTCAGACCAGAAATCAGAGAACTGTAATGGATTTGGAAAAGGAGGTATGTTAGGAATTGAAATCAAGAGACGTTTAGAAGATTGGAAGTCAAAGTGGCTGATTGCTTATGTGAGAGACAAATACCTACCCTGCTGTAATTTTTGAAAGCCATCCTCCTACCTCTAATATACACATGTGTGTATGTGTGTGTGTGTATTTCTATATCTATAGCAATAAGCAAAAACATATGGGCAACAGGAGGTGATGAATATTTAATTCCCAGTAAAAATAATCTTTTTTTCTTGTTTTTTTAAAAGGAATTCATAGAGTTATTTTTAATGTAAATCACGTGGACAATTGTCACAGGTCTTTACTTCATTTCCTATGTCTCTAAATTACCTTGGAGTACTTTGCTTTATAAAATGAACTTCCATCATAAATACACTCTTACATTGCCATGGTTTGTGGTGTGGAGGAGATACTAGGCAAGAATGTAGTAAGTGAAACTAAATTTTAATTATAAACTTATCTGAACAAATACAGCATATTTTTGTCAACAGGGGCACTATTTCAATTTACATAGAACTCTTCTTTTTCCAGATACAACAATGTAAGACAGCTGTTACTATACTATTTATTTTAATTCAAAAGGAAAATAATTCCTCTAGGGGCTAAATCAATGAGCATATGCCCTCAAATGGCCAGTAAATGATAAATCTTAGAGCTATAATTGTTTTAAAAGCTTCTATAAAGCATTTGTTTCACTAACTCACAGTTATAGTAATGTTAACAGTACATTTCTTCCCTGTGGGCCGGAACTACCTTGCATAAGGCTCTGAAAAGATGTATGAAATCATACCTTGAATTTTGTGGGTCGCTATTTTATGCTACTTAAGGATGCATACATTTGATTTTCCATAATAGTAAAAAAGATCTTAAATTAGTTCTTGGTCAGTGAGATGTGTCATATTGAGTTATATTCACATGAAGTATTTACTATTTTATTTCATCTTTAGAACACAATTTTTAAAAGTCTGTTTTAATAAAACTGTTACTGCAAGATACCTTTCAGTAAACAAAGACTAATTAAAGGACTTTAGTATGTGATATTTGATTTCCAGTGTTTTTATTTCTGAGTCCCCTGGGGCTTCTCATTTCATTTCCTAAGACAATTTTTTTCATCATATATAAACATTTTGTTTCATGCAGCAAAGTGCATTTTTACTACAGCTACTCTTTTCCCATTGGTAATATTGGTCCGATATTATGGTATGATTGTTTTTGTCCCTCTGAGTAAATAAAAAAGCACTCTCTCTCTCAAGAAAACTCATAAACCTGATGTCTGTTAAAGTGAGCTCATTCTATAAATCTATCCTAGTCCACTGCAATCTCCTACATTGCTCTTCTAGTTTCTTAACTGTATACCTCAACATAACTGAAAATTTGCCATGTGTACTTACTAAGAAAGAGTGCTTTTGAAGAATTTAGTTCAAAAATCTATATTCATCTCATATTGTTGAATAAAACCAATGCCATGAGAAGTGCCATTTCTATCATTACAAGCATACTTGGAGAGTTCTTAATAAAGTCAAAGTGACTAAAGGAAGTGCTTTGTCCTCTGTGGTTTTGCTATAAGGAAAATGACTTAAAGTATTTTCTACTATCCTCTATTTCAGTTACATAATAGTTGAAGATATTTTTAAAGATATAACAATTCGTACCAAGGAAAGCTCACTGTAAAATAAATCTACACTTGAGGCCAGCTGTGATTTGTATATTTGTCATGGAAAATGGCCTCAGCCAACCAGTGCAGACCTCTCAACATTGGTGTGCCAAAAAAGATTACCTTTTCTTTATCTTGGGTTTATAAATCTGAATTTTCAATTATAATGACAATATTAAAGAAATCAGTGGGTCAGGAGGAACTTGACATCTATAGTTATTGTTTAAAAAGGCTCAAGTGGTTATAAGAAAGCATGGAAAATCACTTCTGAGAATTGCAAAACATTCCAGTCCAATGTAAGATGTGTTCCCTCTTTTCTAGAAGTGTTTAAAAGACATTTGCGAGAGGTAGGAGAGATTCTTAGAAATGTCTTATAAAGGTTTGTACCAACATCTATCTTAAACTAGTAACAGGAGAATTCCCAGAACAAATAACTTACTCTCAGGTAAGACACTACAGCTCAAATTCCTGCATTTAAAATTGAAATATGAACCTTCAGTAAGATTTATGCTGGATTTTCTCTTGCTGCAACTGAAGGGGTAGAAATTTTAATGCTATTTACAACATAAATCTGGGAATACAAAATATTGCTCAATCCATCCATTATTGTATAATTGTAAGGTTGAATGAGAGAGAGAGAGTGTATATGTGTGTGTGTGTGTGTGTGTGTGTAATATAAAAACCTGGATCTTTACTCTTTAGTGTCCTCTATATTAATCCTTATTTATTCTACCAAAATTATGTTTATGAATCCATTTTCTGTAAACTATGTCTCTTAAATATATATATACACACAGAGATACATATATATACACACATAAATATAGTCCTGATTTATATATTATATATAGTCTTAATATATTATATAATATCCATAGTCCTATTTATATTTTATATATAGTCTTGATATATATAATATATGTAGTCCTGATATATTACATAAATATATAGTCCTGATATATATAAATAATATATATTTTAATTTTTAGAACACCAAAACTTGACACAGTTCATTGTGCACGTCAGATTATTTAAAATGTTAATCAGAACTAGTAAAGTATATCCAGTTGTATTAGATACCTAGAAAAATTAAATATTCAATAAAATATCTATGTTGCATTCCTTTTCCATATAAAGTTTTCATAAAAAGTTTTGGGAAAGTAAGTAGTTTGTGTGATTATCACATATTAAATGCCTATGATAAGAATATATGATTTATAGGGCTCCTAGAGAGTTGGTTTGACAGAATCAACAAAGAAATCACCTCAGAGGAAGCTTTAATCCTTATAAAAAGAATTGAGGTAAATTCCAAGCAAATGTGAGGTCAGAGCTTCCTGGTGGATTCTGAGTCTTTGTAAGATATCTCCTGGCACAATAAACTACATCACATTTGTGTACTTGATATGGTTTGGCTCTGTATCTCCACTCAAATCTCATTTCAAATTGTAATCCCCACATGTCAAAGGAGGGAGGTGACAGGATCATGGGGGCAGTTTTCCACATGCTGTTCTCATGACAGTGAGTAAGTTCTCACAAGATCTGATGGTTTTATAAGTATTTGACAGTTCTTCCTCATTCTTCTTTCCCCTACTGTCTTGTGAAGAAGGGGCCTGCTTCCCCTTCCACCATGATTTTAAGTTTCTTGAGACCTCCCCAGCCATGTGGAACTGTGAGCCAATCAAATCTCCTTTTATATATATATATATATATAAATTAACCATTCTCAGGGAAGTTTTTTATAGTGGTGTGAAAATGGACTACTACAGTAAATTGGTATCATGGAGAGTGGGGTACTATTACAAAGATAAAATGAAAATGTGGAAATGACTTTGGAACTGGTAACAGGAAGAGGTTGGAACAGTTTGGGGAGCTCAGAAGACAGGAAGATGTGGGAAAGTTTGGAACTTCTTAGAGACTTGTTGAATGGTTTTGACAAAAATGCTAATAATGAGGTGGATAATGAAGTCCAGGCTGAGGTGGTCTCAGATGGAGATGAGGAACTTCTTGGGAACTGAACCTATGCTTTAGCACTCTTCCTATGCTTTAGCAAAGAGACTGGTGGCATTTTGCTCCTACTCCAGAGATCTGTGGAACTTTGACCTTGAGAAGTATGATCTGCAATTGGAACTTATTTTAAAAGGGAAGCAAAGCAAGAAAGTTTGGAAAATTGCAACCTAATGATGTGAGAGAAAAGGAAAACCCATCTTCTGGTGAGAAAGTCAAGTCAGCTGTAGAAATTTGCTTAAGCAATGCAGAGCCACATGTTAATCACCAAGATAATGGGGAAAATGCCTCTAGGGCATTGTCAGAGATCTTGGTGGTAGCCTCTCCCACCACAGGCCGGGAGGTCTAGGAGGATAAAATGGTTTTGTGGGCTAGGCCCAGAACTCTACTGCTGTTTGCAGCCTTGGGACTTGGTGTCCTGCATCCCAGCTCCTCCAGCTCCAGCTGTAGCTAAAAGGGACAAAGGTACATCTCAGGCCATTGCTTCAGTGGGTGCAAGCCCCAAGCCCTGGTAGCTTCCACATGGTGTTGGGCCTGAAGGTGCACAGAAGTCAAGAATTGAGGTTTGGGAACTCCACCTAGATTTCAGAGGTTGTATGGAAATGCCTGGATGTCTAGATAGAAATCTTCTGCAGAGTCAGGGCCCTCACGGAGAACTTCTGCTAGGGCAGTGTGGAAAGGGAATGTGGGGTTAGGGTCCCTCACAGAGTCCCAATTGGTACACTCTCTAGTGGAGCTGTGAGAAGAGGGCCACAGTCCTCCAGACCCCAGAATGGTAGATACACCAACAGCTTTCACTGTGCATCTAGAAAAGCTGCAGGCACTCAATGTCAGTCCATGAAGGAGGGCCCAAGGCTGTGGGAGCCCACCCCTTGCATCAGCACATTCCGGATGTGAGACTTGGAATCAAAGGAGATTATTTTGGAGCCTCAAGATTTAATTACTGCCCTGCTAGATTTTGGACTTGCATGCGGCCTATAGCCCCTTTGTTTTGGCCAATTTCTTCCATTTGGAATGGGAGCATTTACCAAATACCTGTATCCCCATTGTATCTAGGGAGTAACCAACTTGCTTTTGACTTTACAAGGTCATAGGTAGAAGGAACTTGCCTTGTCTCAGATGAGACTATGGGTATGGACATTTGAGTTAATGCTGAAATGAGTTAAGAATCTGGGGGACTGTTAGGAAGGCATGATTGGTTTTAAAATGTGAAAAGATATAAGATTTGGGAGGGGCCAGGGGCAGAATGATATGGTTTGGCTCTGTGTCCCCACCCAAATCTAATCTCTCATTGTAATTCACATGTGTCAAGCAGGGAGGTGATTGGATCATGGGTGCAGTTTCCCCATGCTGATCTCATGAAGTGAGTGAGTTTTCACAAGATTTGATGGTTGCATAAGTGTTTAGATGTTTCTCCTTCATTTTTCTCTCTCCTGCCACCTTGTGAAGAAGGTGCCTGTTTCCCCTTACTCCATGATGGTAAGTTTCCTGAGGTCTCCCCAGCCATGTGGAACTAGAAGTCAATTAAACCTCTTTTCTTTATAAATTACCCAGTCTCAGAGAAGTTCTCTATGGCAATATGAAAATGGACTAATACAGTACTCTATTTACAAAACTTTTGTACTAAAATTTTTGCTAGCGAATCTGAAAAAGAAGTTTTTAACTTTTTGTAGAATGTTCAAATTTGTAGAAATAAATTATTATCCTTTTATTTTAAAAAGGTTAAGAAAAACAATTAGGGTTATCAAGAAAATGGAGGGATATGATTACTATTCAATGGGATAATTATCCAGCAACTAATTATCACCAAATTCTCTCTGAATTTTTATACTTTGGATACTCAGGGGATCTGGTACTTTTTGTCTATTTTAACAAACATCATGAATATATTGCAGCTGTCCTACAATCTCACGATCAGGATCTTTTGGGAAAAACACATATTATTCCTTAAGAGAACTGAATCCATGTATATTTTTTCAAGTTGATTATTTCCCTTCAAAAATTACTATTACCTGAATAATAGGTAATATGCTTGAAAAAATATGATGTATTTTATAATTATTTTTACCTTTATGTAAGAAAAAAGTAATCTATAATTTGCCAATTATCGATTACTTGGACAAGCTGCTGCATAGCATAGTTACATCACCACACTAATTAACACCTGCACTTCTTAATATGAAGCAGTGGGTGTAATTTGGCAATATAAAATTTGATAAGTATAGAAATATCTGGGACTCAATTTTATATTTATTTATTTAAAAACTAAAGATGTAATAAATAATTATTTTCTCATTGGTGACTCTGTGAGACTTTCTTGGAAAAATTTAAAGTTAAATTCTTGAAGTATTTTAGGAAGGGAAGGCCTGGTGGAGCAGGATTCATTGCCCTCAAAAGTATGTGCTTTGTAACTTATTGCTTTTCATTTCCTCCCCGCTTCTTGATATCTATTAAAAAGCCTAAAGTATGGAAGCAAAATTATAACAACATATCAGTTTTGTCTGTAAATATTTTCCAGTACCTACAAATGCCGTCCATTTGTAAGACAAATGGAAAAACTTTTGTTCCTTGTTTCTCCTGTGAATAAATGTAGCATAGCATGTTTTCTTCATACTTTAGTATGACACCTTGTTACTTAACCCAGTGTTCCCCTGAATGCATATTAATAAGATGAACTGAAGCCTACAGAGTGAGCTGGGCAAAATTCACATTTAAAACTTTCCCAGTCTTGCTAGCTGGTCTTTCTGTATCCCAGGGAATGATACGGGAAACTCTTGTCTTCTTGTCTTCTTGCCTTGCTTCCTCTGATTGACTCATTGACTCAACAACTAGGTCATTCAGCATGTATATTTAGTTGAGTGAGTCTCTTTCTCTTCCTGGTTAAGTGAATGTGCTCAAAACTAATTCTGTAACTCAAAGGAGGAGAAAATATAGTCCCAAATTTCTTAGCCCCATATAAATCAATAGGACCTTTGCAGGTGACAAACAAGGTGGACAGTGCTAGTAGCATAAGAAGAGATGATTACCAGTTATATCAATATGTTTGTATGTCAACAGTAATGCTGTAACTACTACAACAAGCTGAATTGTGAAACAATTCATTTTGGCATTGATTTTCCATTGTCTATAATGAGTTTGAGGAAAGTTATTTTTCTTCTGTTAATATTAAAACGTAATGTTATATATAGCTTCAGAGAGAGTACCTGAGAGGCATAGAAATAATAAATGCAAAGTAACAAATAAACTTCTAAACACAGGTAGAACAAATATTAAATGTATCCAGTCCATTTTTTTAAGCTCTTTACTATTCTCTAGTTGGATTATGCACCTTTGAAATGTTAAACATTTAGGCTTCAGCCTCAATGTTTGCATTTTCAGTAGCATTTATATTTCCTTTAAACTTTACCTGTGTGAACTAAAAGCATCCTGAATCTTATTTCCTCCTATTATGGAAATATGACTAATAGTGTGTTTGTTTTGCAATACTACCTCAATTTAAATTGCTTACATAAAAGGAATAAAGGTACATATTATATTTTTAAGAGAATAAAGGTATATATTTTAAGTACAGCCTTTATATTTTTCACATACCATTTAACATTCATTTGAAATTGTATGGAGGAACTATAATTTTCTTTGATAGATGCATGTTTCCTTATAGAATGTGAGTATAATTACTGAATAATTTGTTTACTTCTTTGAGGTCTCAGATCTGCTTTCTGAAATGTCTTATTCCCAACTCATTTCCTCTGGCAATGTAGTATTTAACCACCCTTGAAGAACCACACTTAGTTAAATGTCACTATTTGGCTTCCTGATGATAGATTCAAGGTATTCAGTTATTTAGAAAAAAGATGAATGGAATAATTGAGACTTTCTTATAAATGGGTGTGTTGGAAGGATTTCCTTGCCAAGATGCTTATAATTTCAGCATTTGAGCACCCATATCTTAGGTTATAACTTAAAATACTACCTGTAGGAACATGGCTAAACTTCTCCGTAGAAATACACCCATGATTTTTAAACTGGTACATAAATCCACTCCTAGGATGGAGGTGTATGTCATTGACTAAATAAATGTGCATAAGTTAATTCACAGAAACTTCCTGGAATAATGGCCAATTTTAAAGAAAAAAAAGCTTGTTATAATAACAAGCATTGCTATTCATAAAATAGACTTGAATGTTAAACAATTTTTTTTTTTTGAGACAGGGTCTTGCTCAGTCGCCCAGGCTAGAGTGCAATGGCACCATCTCGGCTCACTGCAAGCTCCGCCTCCCAGGTTCACACCATTCTCCTGCCTCAGCCTCCCGAGTAGCTGGGACTACAGGTGCCCGCCACTACGCCCAGCTAAATTTTTTTTTGTATTTTTAGTAGAGACAGGGTTTCACCGTGTTAGCCAGGATGGTCTCGATCTCCCGACTTCATGATCCGCCCATCTCGGCCTCCCAAAGTGCTGGGATTACAGGCGTGAGCCACCGCGCCCAGCCAAAATAAACACATTTTTAGTGAATCATTAGAAACATTTTACTTAACAACGGGAACCTTGAGAATGTGCCCCCATTTGCCATCTGCCCTCCACCTATCTCCCTCCCTGCCCTTAAAATTGCTTTATGAATACCAAGGGCTCAGATTAGTGAAGATGTAAACTGAAAACCTTGAAATGGGTTTAGCATTGTATTGAAATTTAAATTAAAAAAAATTTTCTTCATCACAAATGGCATTTCTGTTTCCTCCTTTTTTGCCCCTACATTTAGTTTCTATAAATAATGTCAGACTCCACAGTGTTCCTAATATCTTGTACTATTACATATCTACTAGTTACTCACATCGGTATTAATGTGCATTAATGAACACTCACATCCTTTATAAGACAAAGGACTAGTTTAAGGCAGTAACATTGCATAAGACACAAAAGACTAAGATTTTTGGTTCACAATGGGCTGAGAATTGAGACAGAAGACAGAATCTTGTATGCTGAAGGAAGGAAAGTAAAAGAATAAGGGTCACGAAGGAAGGAGAATACTTAGGTAGAAGCTCTGTGACCCTCAAGATTAAAAGTAACATCTTTCCTTGAGTAAAGCTGTGCCTGAACAATACCTCTAACATCTTAGCAGATTTGTCTGCTCTCATATAATCCAATAACAAACATCCAGGGGCAGTCAAATTAATCTTCCCAACCAAACCCAAAGGCATGTGCACACACACACGGTTTTATATCATTTATAAACAAATTTTATCAGCAATTAGAAAAATAACATAGCCAGCCTGCTAGAGAAGAGAGAAGAAAGAGCACAATGTCTTGGAAAGAAGGTAGAAAAGGAAATTACCAATGGGAATGTGGGGAGAAACAGTTATTAACCAATCAGCAAAAGATAACTGCTGGTACCAAGCAAAAGCTTTTAAACGTAATTTGGCACTTATTGAACACCTGCTATGCATGTGGTCCAATTAAAAATCTTTCAGTCCCCAGAATCTTTATGCCTCATGTGTTTAGGATTGGCTATCTGCCTTCAGCTAAACAAAAGCTAATTGTGCAAATATGGCTATATGTTTTAGAGGAATGGTGCATTTAAACTCTAAGTCACAGTCCAAGACCTAAAATAGTAACAGTATGAATAATAATAATCAATAACTTTTATCTACTTTAAAAATTATGTGAGTTGACACAGTACATATTGAAGAAATCTACCTTTGACCATTGCTAGATTTAAAGGCCAAAAATATTAGAAAAAAATAAGTTAAAAGTCTTTTTTCTTTCCACCAAGTTCCATGTCAGACATTGTCAAAATGACCTCCTCAACCAATGTTGTCATAAATTTCACAATAATATATTAGCCAGTAATTATTTAAATTTTATATGCAATAGCTACTGATCAAACATTTATTCTTAGAAGCAAAATTGTATAGATGGTTCAAGTAAGTCTTTAACAACATCCTTTTTTTGCTTCACTTTTATTTATAAGGAAATCTTGTTGTCTCTCTTGTGTATAATTTTTTAAATTAATTTTTATAATTATTATAAGTTTTATAAAATCATCCAATCTCTATACACTACTGTTTCTATGCTAGTTTCATTAACAGTTATGTATTTTAGCACCTTTTAATAATCAAGAATAAGAATAATTATTGTAGCTTGAGCTTTCATTAATATGTAATTGATCAAATGCTTAATCAAATAAATCAGATGATTTTAAACACTAATGTAACACTTTCAAGTGGAATATCACACACATAAAATACTCCACACAAAGTTGTTTCATGCACAAAATTGTTTCAAACACTAATGTAATATGTAACATTTTAATTTCTCAAATTCTCTTCAGTATTTAAAATTAAAAACACAAGTCTAAAATGTTAGTTCCCTAAATGTTTAAAAAACCTGAAATAATACAACAAACACACACATCAGCACAATAATAATTAAAATATTATCTTTAAAACAAACGCAATTTAAATATGTATTTAATTAAATTCTTCCTTTCAGTATTACTTATTTACTTACTCAATGAAGGAGAGAAAAATTTCCAACTTGACTCTTTTGATATTTCAATATTATCTGGGACTGGTGATCAGGATATCCACTAAATGTGACTTGCAGCATGAGTTGACCGCAAACAGTTAATGATTGGAGTGACTCTACCAAGGCCATGTTTGCCAAGTACAGCAGTGCGACAACCTAGGATCCCCCAGTCTTGTCACATAATTTCTTGAAACCTGGTGTATCATGTGCTCATTGAGCATTGTTAAGTTTTTAAGTTTTATTTTCAGCCAATTATACTTTCATTTTTATCACAACTTTTTTTTTGCAAGTCCTTCTAAGAGCCTGTTTTTAGAAGTTTTATAGTCAACTCTTACACAAGTTTTGCGCCTTCTATTGAGCTGATTGAATTCAAAAATCTTCCCATTTTGATTTTAACTCACTTAATCTATACTGGGATTTTTCCTATAATTGTGGTTTCTTTTTTAGCTAATTGAAAATGATTCTACAGACATTCTATTGGCAGGTTTTAACAGCTCCTTTTTAAAAATTTAACATATATTTTGGTTTTTCTGTAATGTCACACTTAAAATTTTTCCAATATTATTATTTCAGTTAACCTCAATTTCCAGTGATAGATAATCTTTCCCACACAAAGAAAATGATCTGAAACTGTCTGAGCATACACATGACATCACAAGTGGAAAACTTCACAAAAGAAATAATCAACACAAAATTGTTTCATGCAAAAAATTATTAAAAATTGTGTACAAAATTACCTCAGGCTATGTGTATAAGGTGTACATAAAACATAAATGAATTTTGCGTTTAGACTTGGATTCTGTACCCCATGATATCTCGTTATGTATATAAATATATTGCAAAATAAAAATTAAAAAAGAAAAACAAATCCAAAACACTTCTGGTGCCAAACATTTTAATAGTGGATACTCAACCTGTGTATCCGATTGTTCCAAAAAACCCAGTTTAAGGGTGAGAAAATTAGATGAGAAAGTTAGTGATATACATCAACTGACATGGCTAATGACTGAACTAGACTGAAAGGTCTACTCTCCTCTTATTAAAAGAACATTTACTTATACTTCTCCAGCGATTTATTTATTATGCAAATATTTGTTGACATTTTTATATTCAAGGAAATATGCTGTTTCTTAAGAATCAAATTGTGAAAATACAAAACATATTTCTCAAGAAATTTACCACCTATTGAAAAATATTGAAAGCTAATAAAATACCTAGGAGTCCACCTTACAAGGGATATGAAGGACCTCTTCAAGGAGAACTACAAACCACTGCTCAATGAAATAAAAGAGGACACAAACAAATGGAAGAACATTCCACACTCATGGATAGGAAGAATCAATATCATGAAAATGGCCATACTGCCCAAGGTAATTTATAGACTCAATGCCATCCCCATTAAGCTACCAATGACTTTCTTCACAGAATTGGAAAAAACTACTTTAAAGGTCATATGGAACCAAAAAAGAGCCCACGTTGCCAAGACAATCCTAAGCCAAAAGAACAAAGCTGGAGGCATCACACTACCTGATTTCAAACTGTACTACAAGGCTACAGTAACCAAAACAGCATGGTACTTGTACCAAAACAGAGATATAGACCAATGGAATAGAACAGAGCCCTCAGATATAATACCACACATCTACAACCAACGGATCTTTGACAAATCTGACAAAAACAAGAAATGGGGAAAGGATTCCCTATTTAATAAATGGTGCTGGGAAAACTGGCTAGCCATATGTAGAAAGCTGAAACTGGATCCCTTCCTTACACCTTATACAAAAATTAATTCAAGATGGATTAAAGACTTAAATGTTAGACCTAAAACCATAAAAATCCTAGAAGAAAACCTAAGCAATACCATTCAGGACATAGGCATGGGCAAGGACTTCATGTCTAAAGCACCAAAAGCAATGGCAAGAGAAGCCAAAATTGACAAATGGGATCTAATTAAACTAAAGAACTTTGGCACAGCAAAATAAACTAACATCAGAGTGAACAGACAACCTACAGAATGGGAGAAAATTTTCGCAATCTACTCATCTGACAAAGGGTTAATATCCAGAATCTACAAAGAACTCAAACAAATTTACAAGAAAAAAACAAACAACCCCATCAAAAAGTGGGTGAAGGATATGAACAGACACTTCTCAAAAGAAGACATTTATGGAGCCAACAGACACATGAAAAAATGCTCATCATCACTGACCAACAGAGAAATGCAAATCAAATCCACAATGAGATACCATCTCAGACCAGTTAGAATGGCAATCATTAAAAAGTCAGGAAACAACAGGTGCCGGAGAGGATGTGAAGGAATAGGAACACTTTTACACTGTTAGTGGGACTGTAAACTAGTTCACCCATTGCGGAAGACAGTGTGGCAATTCCTGAAGGATATAGAACTAGAAATACCGTCTGACCCAGCCATCCCATTACTGGGTATATACCCAAAGGATTATAAATCATGCTGCTATAAAGACACATGCACATGTATGTTTATTGCAGCACTATTCACAAAAGCAAAGACTTGGAACCATATCAATGATAGATTGGATTAAGAAAATGTGGCACATATACACCATGGAATACTATGCAGCCATTAAAAAGGATGAGTTCATGTCCTTTGTAGGGACATGGATGAAACTGGAAACCATCCTTCTCAGCAAACTATCGCAAGGACAAAAAACCAAACACTGCATGTTCTCACTCATAGGTGGGAATTGAACAATGAGAACACTTGGACACAGGAAGGTGAACATCACACACCAGGGCCTGTTATGGGGTGGGGGGAGGGGGGAGGGATAGCATTAGAAGATATACCTAATGTAAATGACGAGTTAATGGGTGCAGCACACCAACATGGCAGATGTATACACACGTAACAAACCTGCACATTGTGCACATGTACCCTAGGCCTTAAAGTATAATAAAAAAAGAAAGTTAAATAGGCAATAATAAAAATGTGATAACATATTCATGTTGTATTAAAAAGCAAAGTAAGTCTCAACTCTGTGTTGTCTACAAGAAATTCACTTTAAATGCAAGACATAAGTAGGTTAAAAGTAAAAGGATAGGGAAAGATATCGAAACACTACACAAAAGAAAGGTTGACTTCTTGTATTAACATCAAACGAAGTAGACTTTAGAACAGGGAATATTATCAGTGATGAAGAGAGCTATTACATAATAAGATAGTTAATTCGGGCCAGGTGCTGTGGCTGACGCCTGTTATCCCAGCACTTTGGGAGGCTGAGGCAGGTGGATCACCTGATGTTAGGAGTTTGAGACCAGCCTGGGCAACATGGTGAAAACCTGTCTCTACAATTGTAGTTGCAGACGTCACACTTTATTCTCAGTAACTGATAAAATTAATAGGAAGAAAATCAGTTAGGATATAGATGACTGAATAAACTTGTCAGTAATTTGACCTGATTGACAATTACAAAGTTCTTCACCCTAGAATACTTGGAAAGTACATGGACCAAAGCATTATTCTCCAAAGCACATGGACCATTTGCCAAGCTAGATTATATTTTGGCTTATAAACCAAATACTAAAAAATGTAAAAGAATAGGAGGTATGCAAAATATGTTATCCTATCATAATCATATTAAGCTAGAAAATAATACATATATGTCTGGGTTATCCCAAAATTCAAAAAAATAATTATATGTATATGTATGTGTGTGTGTGTGTGTGTGTGTGTGTGTGTGTGTGTGTGTGTGTGTGTTCTAAAGGGACCATGGGTCAAATAAGAAATCTCAGGAGAACTTTAAGAAACCTTTTTGAACTGAATGAAAATGAAATCACTTACATAAAATTGGAGCGGTTCCAGCTAAAGGAAGTTTGAAAGGGAAGTTTATTTCACTAAATGCATATATTAGAAAGGATGAAATGTCTCAGAGAGAAAGAACAATTTTAGCTCAAATAAAATATGAGGGAAATAATAAAAATTAATAAAGAAATCAATGACAATGAAAGCAGAAAAGCAATAAAAACATCATTTAAACGAACATCCAGTTTCTTTTGAAATGATTAATCAAATTAACAAGAATCTGACAAAGAAGGAAGATATATTATTAATATCAAGAATGAAAGAGAGCACATCACTACTGAACCTACAGATATTAAAAAATAAGGGAACACTGTAAACATGCTATGACCATTAATTTGACAACTTAGATAAAATGAACAAAGTTCTTGAAACAAATAACAAAGACTGGCTCAAAAAATGGTAATGTGAAGAATAATATATCTATCAAGAAAATTTAAGTTTCAGTAGACACTTCTCAATTCTACTTAGAAGCCAGCAAGCCTATAGACTGGGGAAAATATTACAACCATATATCTGATAAGGGGTTAATATCCAAAATGTATAAAGAGCTCATACAGCTCAGTAGTGGAGAAATGAATAACCCAGTTAAAAATGGGCAAAATACTTCAATAAATATTTATCCAAATAAGACATAAAAATAGCCAACAGGTGTATGAAAAGGAACTCAACATTATTGATCATTAGAGAAATGCAAATAAAAAACACTATGAGATACGACCTCATGCCTGTCAGGATAGCTGTCATCAAAATGTCAATGGATAATAAATGATAGTGAGAGTGTGGAGAAAAATGGGACACTTGTACCTGTTGGTGGGAATGTAGATTGATATAACTATTATGGAAAACAATATGGAGGTTTCTAAAGAAATTAAAAATAGAACTTCTGTATAACCCAACAATTCCTCTTCTGGGCATATACGCAATGGAAATGAAATCACCACCTTGTAAAGATATCTGTGCTCCCATGTTCATTGCAGCATTATTTACCATAGCCAAGATATGAAAACAAACTGTTGGTTAACAGACAAATGGACAAGGTAATTGTAGATTATATACAATGGAATATTACACAACGTTAAAAAGGAACAATCTCTTGCCTTTTGTCACAACATGTATGAGACTGGAGGACATTATTCTAACATAAATAAGCCAGACATAGAAATAAAAATTTGCGTGTTTTCACTTATATGTGGAATCAATATGCACATGGAGAGAATAAAGTAGTCATTACTAAGGGTGGTGCAGGGTGGAGAAAGAAAAGTCAGAGGACGCAAAGTAGGAGTTATGTAGGATGAACACATCTAGAGATCTAATGTACAACACGAGGACTATAGATAATAAAATTATACCGTATGTGTAATTTGTGCTAAATGAGAAGATTTTAGCTGTTATTGCTACAAAACAACAAAAAAGGTGACAATGTAAGATGATAGGTATGTTAATTTGTTTCACTACAGTAACCTTTTTACCATGTATATGTATTCCATAACATCATGTTATATTCCTTGAATATGCAGGATAAAATTTTTAAAAATATCTATAAAGCAATAGTTCTCATGAACCTAGACACAAAAATTCTAAACAAAATGTTTACAAATCAAACTCAGCAATATGTAAAAATGAAAATACATTATGACCAAGTGGAGTTTATCTAAGAATGCAAAATTAGTCCAACATTTGAAGTCAATGAACTTTACTGTATTTACATAATAAAGAATATATACATATTTTTTCAGTAGATGCAGAAAAGCAAATGACCAAATTCATCATCTACTCATGACAAAAAGAAAGAAAAACACAACTCTCTCCCTGTGCATTAACAATGGAAGAAAATGTTCTTAATCTATTGAGATCATCCAAATACAAGGTACAGCTAACATGACACTTAATGATAAGAGATTTAATATTTTCACCCTAAGATGGGGAACAAGGCAAAACGCCCTCTCTCACCACTCCTATTCTACATCATAGTGGAAGTTTTAGCTACTATGATTAACATGCAGAGGTCAGTTATATTTATATATACCAGCATACACACCAGCACTTTGAATTGTCAGCTTTAAAAAAGAAAAATTGGCAGGGCACAGGGGCTCACACCTGTAATCCCAGCACTTTGGGAGGCTGAGGCAGGCAGATCATGAGGTCAAGAGATCAAGATCATCCTGGCCAACATGATGAAACCCTGTCTCTACTAAAAATACAAAAATTAGCTGGGCATGGTGGCGTGCCCCTGTAGTCCCAGCTAGTTGGGAGGCTGAAGCAGGAGAATCATTTGAACTCAGGAGATGGAGGTTGCAGTGAGCCAAGATCACACCACTGCACTCCAGCCTGGTGACAGAGCAAGACTCTGTCAAAAAAAAAAAAAAAAAAAAATCACTTTAAGAGGTGTGGTGAGACTGGGCACAGTGGCTCCTGCCTGTAATCCCAGCATTTTTGGAGGCCAAAGTGGGAGGATCACTTTAGCCCAGGAGTTTGAACCAGCCTGGGCAACAGTGAGACACCATATCTGCAAAAATTCGGAAAAAAAAATAAAAGTAGCTGGTGTGGTGGCATGTGCCTGTAGTCTCAGCTACTCAGGAGACTGAAGCAGGAGGATTGCTTGAGTCTGAGAGGTCACAGCTGCAGTGAGCCATGATCAAGCCACTGCATTCCAGCCTGGGTGACAGAGTAAGACTCTGTCTGAAAGAAAAAAACAAAAGCAAAGAAACAAACAACAACAAAAAAGATGTAGTGGGATCTCATTGTGATTTTAATTTGCTTTATTTGCTTTTCCCTAGTGACTAACACTGTTGAAAATTTTTGAATAATGCTTGTTGCCTTTAGTATTTCTCTGCTAAGTTGACTCTTCAGATTCCTTTTTTTTTAACTTTATTATTATTTTTTTACTTTAAGTTCCAGGATACATGTGTGGAATGTGCAGGTTTGTTACACAGGTATACGTGTGCCATGGTGGCTTGCTGCACCTGTCAACCCGTCACCTATGTTTTAAGCCCCACATGCATTAGCTGTGACTCTTCAAATTCTTTAAGATATTTTTAATTAAGATGTTTGCTTTCTCACTATGGATTTCACAGACAAAAACTGTCCATGAGTATTTATAGTATCCTTCCAACCCTAAAATGAAACAAGTCAAGTGTCTCTCAAAGATGAAGGACTAAATGAACCATAGCATACAATGAAATATTTCTCGATAAAGAAAAGGGACAACTTCATTCAGGCAACAGAATGAATCTCAAATTCATTTTGTTAAGTGACAGCCAAATCCAAAATGGATTGTATAAAATTAGTAGGAAACCTGGGAAAATCCAAGTAAAATCTGTAGTTTAGTTAACAGTCATGTAAAGATGTTAATTTCTTATTTTTGATATTTATACCATGGTTATGTAATATGTGAATATTGGGGAAGCTGGGTAAAGGGCATACTAGAACTTTCTGCACTATCTTTACATTTCCTCAGTTTCAAAATAAAACATTAAAAAATGTGGCTTTTTTGATAGAGTTGAATTCTAAAAAATCTTTCCAAAAATATATAAATAATTTGTAAACAAACATTTGTTTTGATACAACTATGAAAAATTGTTGATGATTTATATTTTCTTGTAAGTATATTTACTTATTTGGGAATACTCAGAAAATATTATAAAAGTGTTCTATTTCTAGTTATACCTGTTATCTTTTTTTTAATTAGAAAGGTAATTTAAGAGGTTTTCAGAACGTTTAAAATATTTTCTATGATTTTTCAGATAAACTCCTAATCATATATTTTAGATAACATAATGCACCTGACTCATTCTTATCAAAGTTTTGATTACATAATTTGAGTTTTATAATTATCATATTCATTCCTATTCATGGTAATATGCTGGTCACAAATTTGCTTTGTGAGAAATTTAATTGCTTGAAATTATTTATGCCAATTTGCAAAGCCTGCCCCAGCTCTGTGGACTATATCATGGGCTGAATATCTTATCCTGAAAGATGAATTCCTTTCCACAACTTAATAAGTAAGTGAGGATGTTTCTCTTTGAAAGTCAACAAGTTTTATGATAAAAGACAAGTTGTGTGGAAGTACTATTTATCTTTTCACAAAGTTAAAAGAAAATCACAAATTTATTGACCTAAACTTAACATGATTGACAATTATAACAGCATTATTAAGTACTTATCTTAAATCTTCATTTGTGATGCTGTGACAAGTGCTTTCTCTATATGCCAAAGTGAGTTGATTTTTTACAAAATATATATAAATTTGAAAATCCTATTTTTTCAGCACTGGCCCATGAGACGTTAAACAAAAGACAAAGAAGGAGAAAACAAAACAAAACAGAAACAGATCACAATGCAAATTCTAATATACAATTATGGATTCTTAATAGTGAATAACAATACTAATAACTGACATTAATTTGAATTATCCATTAATTATTAGGCATTGTTCTAACCTATAAGCCCTATCTTACTCATTTCTCACAACAACCAAATCAAGTAAATTCTATAATTATTTTTGTTTTACAAACTAGAAATCTGAAATATAAGATATTAAATAATTGAGCAAAGGGAATATAAATAAAAGAAGAACTGTGATTCTGAGCCAGGGATTAATGATCTCCTTCATTCTTCTATGCCTGTCTTTTCTGCTAGACAGCTGTTAACTACTAGTAGTGCTCAATTAGTGAATTACTAAGAAAAAAAATTGAGATGCACATAAAATAGCAGTGTTATTTTATAATATTATTATAATTATATCTGAATATAATGTAACATATTAATATGATATAATAATATTTCTATAAATTTATGCTTATTAGCTAAGTTAGATTATTTTACGTGTCACCAGATGCTTGCATAGAGTCTTTGGGAAGCACAACATCTTTAGGCACTGGGAGCAATAAACATATCTGAGCAAGGTTTAATAGGCTCTAAGCTTGGTTTTGTGGAAAGTAAGCTGATGGTATTTTATAGGAATATTAAAAGGGAGAAAGAATAGAAAGAGACTGACTGATAAGTAGGCTATTGAAATGTTTTGACATGGATTGATGAAACCTTAAATTAGAGAGGTAGCAGGTAGAAGGAGAGGGGTGAATGAACGTAGAACATATGTATAATAAATTATGCACATAACTGGAATGTGATGGGAAAGGTTGGTAGAATTAAGATTCCAGAATCATATTAAGATTCCAAGCCTGGGATAAGAAACAGATGATATCTCTAAGAAATACTGAGTCCATTTAAGAGATCTGGTGGAATATAATGATATATCTGAGAATTGACTGAGATAATTTGTATTCAAAAAGATAGCACGGAGTAATGCAAGCCTGGGATAGTTATGTGATAGCTATTCACATGGAGGTGGAATCGTAATGGAAAAATTATTCTGGCACATGCTTAAACCAGTAAAACAGACTTTGTATAAGACTATTGCAACAGATGAGATAATATTGCAACAGAGAAGAAAGATTGAACTCACCTCTGATTACAGCAAAGAAAGCTGGAAAATTATGGCCAACCAGTACAGTGAGGGAGTGAGTGGATAGAAAATTACTACGAGGAATGTGGTCAGACATCAAGTATAGCGGGATTCTCTAAACTTGCTTAACAGGATTCTTGCTAAAATTAGGCCAAGGACTTA
Source organism: Homo sapiens (assembly GCF_000001405.40). NCBI lineage: Eukaryota > Metazoa > Chordata > Mammalia > Primates > Hominidae > Homo > Homo sapiens. The sequence goes on from NC_000013.11 coordinate 70,506,147, forward strand.
GATGTGAAGGGTAGGGAATGAGGATATCATCAGATATCAACATCAACAGTGGGAACTGCTAATTTAGCAGAATTCTTTGCTAAAACTGCACTCAGCAAGCCAAGGGCAGGACAGCAGGTTGAAGGTTGGGACTTATTCAAGAAGAGAGCTCAAACGATTCTCACTAAAGTTTGGTCAGGGAGGGGATCCTTGTCAATACCTGAAGACTTTGAATGGATGTGTCTAAGAGAGACAATGTGCATACAAAGATACAGCAAATTAAGAAGTTGAAATAAAATAATGTAGATTAAGGAATGTAGAGGAAAAACATGAATTAATTTTTTTATTTTTATTTTATTTTATTTTTGAGACAGAATCTCACTCTGTTGCCCAGGCTGGAGTGCAGTGGCCCAATCTCAGCTCATGGCAACCTCTGCCTCCTGGGTTCAAGCAATTCTCCTGCCTCAGCCACCAGAATAGCTGGGATTACAGATGCGCAACACCATGCCGGCTAATTTTTTTTTTTTTTTTTTTCAGTAGAGATGGGGTTTCATTATGTTGGCCAGGCTGGTCTCGGGTTCCTGACCTCAACTGATCCGCCTACCTCAGCCTCCCAAAGTGCTGGGATTACAGGCATGAGCCACCATGCCAGGAGAGAAAATATCAATTAATTTTTTTAAAGGTACTGATATCAAATCATGAATACTAAAGAAGAAATAAAGGAAGGATGGGTAGTAGAAATTGATGAATGGGAATAAGAATATCCCAAATGAAATAATGGAGAAAAATAAGAAAGCCCAATCCAATCTGAGATCTTGCAACTTCAAGAGAAATAATTTAGTTTTAACAAATGAAAGCAGACTTTAAATTGTGCAAATGATTTGTGCAAGTCTCAATACCAGGTACTCTAGGGAATAACAGGTCCAATTATGTTATTGTTATATTCACAGCCCTCAGAAATCTGAGTATCTTCCATATCATCTCTCTGTTTTCGATTTTATATCCTGGACCATAGACACATTTTCTTCATTTTATGTTGTTTTCTCTGCCAGGAAAATTTTTGAGGTTTTTTATCCTCATTCATATTCTCCCAGTGAGCCCCACTGAAATATAAGTCAAACATGAGCTTTTCCATGCCAATTGTCTTGTTCCCCTATATGATATTAGCTTATACGACTTTAAGAGTTGTATAAGACATCATCCCAATGTTAACATTATTATGTATTGAATTTCCTACATATTTTACTATTGTGAATTTTTTAAGGGCTCAGGAACAAACACTGCTTCATTTATATTTCTACCAAAAATAGAGAACGCAAAAGTTGGATCAAATCAGGGACTCAGCCCAGTACTGTGGCTCAAGCTGGTAATCCCGACACTTTGGAGGACCAAGGCAGAAGTTCAAGACTGACTTGGGCAATAGCGCAAGACCCTGTGTCTACAAAAAAATTATATAAATCATGTACTCATTAAATATTTCCTGAACAAATAATCTTGAAGACCAGGGTATGAAAGAGGCAGAGAACGGGCATCTCCATTGCTTTAGTAATGGTGATGCTGGCAAAAACAAAAAACATTGACTATTTATGTTTCCCAAAGGAAAATAAACCTGTCTTAAGTTGCTGGACAAATAATAAAGGCTGGATAATTAGGGGAATGGGAACTTAGAATAGATAACTATTAAACAAAAAAATTCAATTATCCACAAATAATTAAATTTCATTTGCAGATTGCCAACTCATTCACATCAGATAATGAACCATATCTCTTCCTACAGATAGGTCATATTTAGCATATCTATTCAGAATCGACAGCTCAAATAATAAAATACTTGCAGAAAGTTTACATTCTATGTAACATATTTGCATAATCTGTTTTATGATACAAAGGCTTTCAGATACTTGTAATTTAGATTTTCAATTGAAAATAATTTTATTTTTATTGTTCAATATTTATTAACAAGCTTCAATTTATTATGGAAGAGGGAATTCATCCAAAAATGACAGAGGACTATCCAGACATTATTCCATTGCAGGTTATGATTTAGTCCGCCCTGGCTTAAAGTCTAAATTTCAAATGCAGTAGGGGATGCCTAGTTTGCCACCTCATAGTTTTACCTGGGAAATTTACTGTCTGAAGACATTTAAAAGTTTATTAGAAATTATTTAAAAATTAATTACAGTATAGATTAAATATAATTAGTTTCATTACATTGTACATTGGTGGACAATTATAAATTATATACTTGCTGAATTAGGGTTTTCTAGAGGGACAGAACTGATAGGATCAATATATACATGAAGGGGAGTTTATTAAGTAGTAGTAATTCACACAATCACCAGGTCCCACAATAGCCCATCTGCAAGCTGAGGAGCAAGAAAACCAGCCTGAGTTCCAAAGCCGAAGAACTTGGAGTCCGATGTTCAAAGCCAGGAAGCATCCAGCACGGGAGAAAGATGTGGGCTGGGAGACTAAGCCAGTCTAGCCTTTTCACGTTTTTTCTGCCTGCTTTATATCCCAGCCAAGTTGGCAGCTGATTAGATGGTGCCCACACAGATTAAGTGTGGGTCTGCCTTTCCCAGCCCACTAACTCCAGTGTTAATCTCATTTGGCAACACCCTCACAGACACACCCAGGATCAATACTTTGCATCCTTCAATCCAATCAAATTTACACTCAGTGTTAACCATCACACTTGCTAACTGTAACACTTGCTATCTGGCAATCTCTTCTCGCTAGGACAAATCCTTAACTGAGAATGATTGTTTGTTTCCCGTTCCAACTTACCTGCTTCTCACTGATGGCTGATACATTATTGCAGCTCATGAAACCATTGCCCAACCCCTCCCCTCAATAGAAGGTGTACTTCCTAAGTGCAGAGGTTTTGCATGTTTTGTACATTTTTATATTTTCAGTCTGTAAAATAGTATCCTCCAATGTTACTTTCTCAATAAATACTCTAGCAGTAAATATTTATTAAACAATTTATCTCATATTTGTTTATGATTAGTCAATTAAATTTAGATTTACTACTGCTGTGCATCAGAGTTGATACAATTATTACAGTGAATTATAATTCCTCTCAAATTAACTAATGGGAATTATTTAAAATAAACATGTTATTAACCTATTGATCTACCTGTGTTCCTTTTTACCAGTGTACATAATGATGCAAATTCAGGAATTTCTTAGGTGGTGTTTCAGTGAGAAGTTGCTCTATAAAGCCCATTGCAGAATGCCTTCCCTAGGGTTTCTTCAAGGGTAGGATTTTTTTTTTTTTTGAGACGGAGTCTCGCTCTGTCGCCCAGGCTGGAGTGCAGTGGCGGGATCTCGGCTCACTGCAAGCTCCGCCTCCCGGGTTCACGCCATTCTCCTGCCTCAGCCTCCCAAGTAGCTGGGACTACAGGCGCCCGCCACTACGTCCGGCTAATTTTTTGTATTTTTAGTAGAGACGAGGTTTCACCGTTTTAGCCGGGATGGTCTCGATCTCCTGACCTCGTGATCCGCCCGCCTCGGCCTCCCAAAGTGCTGGGATTACAGGCGTGAGCCACCGCGCCCGGCCGGATTTTTTTAAAATAATCACCTGGCTTTGGCTGGACAATAGAAATTCCTAAAGTCTTAAACAGAGAAATGTTTGAATGATCTTGCTCTACTCCTTGAAAGATTTTTAGTAAGTTGGTTTTGTCAGCTTCACTATTGAAAATCAACTTCCCCTTGTGCTGCTGTAGACCAGCTAAGAACTGTGAATCCCTGGTTTGCTGAGGTTTGCATACTGAACTGGGTCACCTTTTTCTTTCTTAGCATAGTCTCCTACCTCCCCAGAATAGTCTTATCTTAAAAGTTCTGAACATTTCTGTCCCCAAGTGCATCTCTATTTTGGCTTCATCTGGCAGGACAATTCATTGAATGGTTAATTTGTGTTGTGGTGTGTGTGTGTGTGTGTGTGTGAGATTCAGTGCTGGACAATTTCCTGCAGGTTCAATGGGTTTTTTTCTGCCCACTTGCCCCAAAACAAAGTTCCTCTTTTTGAATCCTAAATCTATGTTCTCTTATCTGCAGATGACATTCACAATTTTTGTTTTCTAAGACTGTAAACAGACACTGCCCCACACCAATGAGACAAACATCTAATCTTTCTCTAGTTTGGGTAGAGAAGAGTAGCCCATATTAAGTGAGGGAGAGAGGGTTGGTGCATTTGGGCACTTGTGCTAAATGTTGTGTATTTCCTTCTCAGTCTTGTGAATATGTGTCCTTTACATCTTTGAGGACAACCTGCAAGTGAAGTAGTCCATTTAATCACCAATTACATAGAATACACCTAGAGCTCCTATCGTTGTTCACTTATGTTGGTGAATTAGGATGAGAATTTGCCCTTATAAATTTTCACTAGTCGAGGAATGGTAATGTAAAGTTTGATAGATCCATACAGTGAATTTTATACAACTTACTGAAAGCAAGAAAGTAAGTTTTATTGGCATAAATACTCACAACATATTAATAAGTAAGGAATACATGTTACAAAAGACCGCATGGTATTTTATTTTATAAATAAAATATATACAGTATGTGTAGAGAACAAACACCTGGAATTATGTATTTCAGAAGGTTAATAGCCATTATCTTTAGACAAAAGATTAATTTTTACTTTCTTCTTTATATTTTTTGTATTATACTCATTTCTACAAAGGAAATACTAAAGTAGGTAATTAGGAAAAAGCCAATATAATTTCATTTTGAAATAAAATAGATTTGCTAATGTTAGGTAGTTTTTAAGTCACTTCAGGTTCAGAGCTCATGTGATCTGGCAGTAATGAGGGGGATGAGTTACCCTGTTGGATTTTTCTTTCTGTGATTCATGTCACATGCAGAATTACTCTCCTTTTGTGTCCGGAATTGGTGGGTTCTTGGTCTCACTGACTTCAAGAATGTAGCCGCCGACCCTCGCGGTGAGTGTTACAGCTCTTAAGGTGGCGGGTCTGGAGTTTGTTCCTTCTGATGTTCGGATGTGTTCGGAGTTTTTTCCTTCTAGTGGGTGCGTGGTCTCCCTGGATCAGGAGTGAAGCTGCAGACCTTTGCGGTGAGTGTTACAGCTCTTAAGGCGGCGCGTCTGGAGTTGTTTGTTCCTCCCAGTGGGTTCGTGGTCTCACTGGCTTCAGGAGTGAAGCTACAGACCTTCGCGGTGAGTGTTACAGTTCATAAAGGCAGTGTGGACCCAAAGAGCCAAAGAACAAAGCTTCCACACTGTGGAAGGAGACCCGAGTGGGTTGCCACTGCTCGCTCGGGCAGCCTGCTTTTATTCTCTTATCTGGCCCCACACACATCCTGCTGATTGGTAGAGCCCAGTGGTCTGTTCCGACAGGGCGCTGATTGGTGCGTTTACAATCCCTGAGCTACACACAAAGGTTCTCCAGGTCCCCACCAGATTAGCTAGATACAGAGTGTCCATTGGTGCATTCACAAACCCTGAGTTAGACACAGGGTGCTGATTGGTGTGTTTACAAACCTTGAGCTAGATACAGAGTGCCGATTGGTGTATTTACAATCCCTGAGCTAGACATAAAGGTTCTCCAAGGCCCCACCAGAGTAGCTAGATACACAGTATCCATTGGTGCATTCACAAACCCTGAGCTTGACACAGGGTGCTGTTGGTGTATTTACAATCCCTTAGCTAGACATAAAGGTTCTCCACGTCCCCACCAGACTCAGGAGCCCAGCTGGCTTCACCCAGTGGATCCCGCACCAGAGCTGCAGGTGGAGCTGCCTGCCAGTCCCGCGCCGTGCGCCCGCACTCCTCAGCCCTTGGGAGGTCGATGGGACTGGGTCCTGTGGAGCAGGGGGCGGTGCTCGTCAGGGAGGCTCGGGCCGCACAGGAGCCCTCGGGTGGGGAGCTCAGGCATGGCGGGCTGCGGGTCCCGAGCCCTGCCCCGAGGGGAGGCAGCTAAGGCCCGGTGAGAAATAGAGCGCAGCGCGGGTCGGCCCGCACTGCTGGAGGACCCAGTACACCCTCTGCAGCTGCTGGCCTGGGTGCTAAGCCCCTCATTGCTCTGGCCGGCAGGGCCAGCAGGCTCCTCCGAATGCGGGGCCTGCCAAGCCCACGCCCACCCGGAACTCCAGCTGGTCCGCAAGCTCCGTGCGCAGCCCCGGTTCCCGCTCGCGCCTCTCCCTCCACACCTCCCTGCAAGCTGAGGGAGCCGGCTCCGGCCTTGACCAGCCCAGAAAGGGGCTCCTACAGTGCAGCGGCGTGCTGAAGGGCTCCTCGAGTGCCGCCAAAGTGGGAGCCCAGGCAGAGGAGGCGCTGAGAGCGAGCAAGGGCTGTGAGGACTGCCAGCACGCTGTCACCTCTCACTTTGATGCCCAGAAACCATTGTCTGCCTTTCTGCAGGGTGCTAGTAAAGAATAGGCAGTACCTGAGAGAAGATAGAAAGGACGTATCTGCATTTAGAAAAAGGGGATTTCTTTCTTTTTTCTCTTAAGCCTCCTTCCATCCTCTCAAGAAAAGTCTACCATGACAAAACCAAGACTCTCTCATTTATGCTTTAATTTTCCTCCAGAACAAGTGACATATGAGCCTTCTAATAACAAGTAGACAAGTTTGCAGGAACACTGACTTATAAGGGGAATAAGTACCCCCAGGACTATGAGAAGCTGCTGTTGCTCCAACACTGTCCTATCAAGAATACAGATTGGTGACTTATAGCTGGCTTGGTGACTTATGCTGGTACATTTCCCTGGAGCCACACTCAGTCCCCAGTATGCTGAATTCCATTTATGACCCAGTTGCAGGCACTATATATGGCACCCAGATGTATATTAGAATGTCATGACTTTGAGATAGATAGGCAGATGGATAGGTAGATAGATAGATAGATACATAGATAGATAATAGACAGATAGATAAAAAATTTATTTCAGATGAAAGGATATCTTCTTTTCTGCAAGCAAAGAAATAAGCTGCTAGCATTTTAGTTCTATCTTTGTTGGATTTGTGTTCTAAGGCCACAGGGCATTCACAAGTCTGCCTAATTACTTCTATACTCTGTGGATAAGTACATGGAAGAAACATACATGCATCTGTAATGTAAAAAGGTAACATGCAATGTAAGGAGAGCATGCATAAGAGTATTTATTAATAGATTATTTACGTGAGGAGATGCTAGACAGTGCACATTATGGAGGATATACAATATAATGTGAAGAGGTCATGCCATAGACAGAGCACATTTGGGTCATTAGCACTTGTCCCTCTGAATATGACATTTAAAGCCACAATCCATTATACTTATCCAAGGATATTCTTGGGTTGTGATGAAGTGGGAAGTGATGAGAAAATCGAGGAAGTCTCTGTGCTATGTCTGGGCATTGATTTGACCAACGATACTGAGAAGATTAAGACACTGGATTTAGCATCAAGGAAGATACACAAAAGTCAATACTGTGCACCTCAGGCCCCCAGAATTTCTCTTTACCTTCTGAATGTTGGTGTCCTCATTTCTATAGAAAACAATGGTATCCAAGCCCTAGAGAGAAGTTCGAGTTCAGGGCAGTCCTGTCTGAACTTCTCTCATTGGTTCTTTATCTATAGTGGCAGCTTCCAGGTCGCTTAGTTTCCAAACTCAAAAAATTTAAAGTAGATTTTATTTTTAATTTCATGGGAGCAGACATCCGCATGCAATGCTGCATATAAAAACACTATTGTTCAGTCAAAGGTTATTTTTCCTAAAGCAATGGCAGTAAGGTTACCAACATGCACAAATTTAGTCAAGGCTTCTCTCTGACTCTTAGTCGGTTAACAGATAATACACAGCAGAAGAAACATAACCAGTGAACAAACATAGATTAAAATGTTCAATGTAAATGCAAACAAAATAAAGGATAATCAAAGATGTATTAGGTCTTTTGTTACTGCTTTTTAAATGGTGTTGCATACAGATGGTGAACATACAGAAATGACTATTTTCTTGCATCCTGCTATCGGTACTCTGAGTAGGTAAAAGCCATTGCATAGCAGATAGCAAGACATATCAAACAAATATCAAAGTGCTTATAGTTTTTGACCAGATAATTCCACTTCAGAAAATATGCCTTAAGAAATTTATCTGAAATATGAATGCTTTATGGGCAGAATGTTCAGTTTCTTTTGATAAAAAAAAAAAGTTTGTATCTATTAACAGGGGGATTATTATATAATTTGTGCATTGTTCACTAGAGAAAAATGTTATCCAGTCTTAAAAAGTGATAGTAACAGAAAATATGTAGATATATTAAATAATATTTATGATATGTAAAATGAAAAACCAAGATGGCGATTTGTATATACATCATAACTATTTAAAATATATATTTAAAAGACAAAAAAAAGATAGTATTCATTTTTATAGAAGAAAATGATTGTGTATATTTATTTCCTAAATCGTCATAATATTTATAACATATAATATATTGAAAACAAATAAATAAGCAAATCAAAAACAAAAACTTGGGAAAGAATAAACAGAGTTTTACACTGTCAAGACAACCATACTTGAAAGGTTAAAATCCTTGAGATTAAAGCTGAAATGTGTAATTAAAAGTAAAGTATGTGCAAGAATACTATAAAAAATGATAAAACATCATTGAGATACACGAAAGGAGGCATAGATACATACACAGAAACCATATCAATGTACTGGAATATTCAATATTTTTGAATTATTTTTAAAGATGTCAGTTGTACCCAAATTAAACCATAGTTTCACTTCAATCTCAAACAAAACCCCTAAATGTTTATAATAGTTACAATAATAAGAATAGCAGTAATAATTATTAGTATTATCTGCTTGTATGAAAACTAACAGGTTGTTTCTTAAATTTATATGAAAATGTAAAAATGAATAGCCAAGGTGATATTGAGGAAGCAAAAAATTAACACCTTAACTAATAGATCTCAAAACTTATGTTTAGATATAACAAGAAATACGTGTCTCTTGAAACCAGGAAAACAAATAAGACAAATGGAATGGAACAAAAGTGCCCAAACAGACCCATATACATACATCAAAAGACATATGACAAAGGTTTATCTGCAGTGCAGTGGGAAAAGGATATCCTCCTGAACAAATATGCTGGATTAGTTGGCTAACTATATGGTATAGTTTGGGTGCTTGTCCCCACCAAATCTTGTGTTGACGTTTGATCCCCAATGTTGGAGGTGGGGCCTAATGGGAGGTGTTTAGGTCATGGAGCAGATCCCTCATGAATAGATTAATGTCCTGGAGTGAGACCTGAGGAGGGAGTTCTTGCTCTATTAGTTCCTGAGAAAGCTGGTTAAAACAAACAAACAAACAAACAAAAAAGACCTGGTGCTTCACCTTCTCTCTCTCTTGCTTTCTCTCATGCCATGAGAACTTGTCACATGCCAGCTTCCTTTTGCTTTCTGCCATAAGTAAAAGCAGCCTGAAACCCTGATGAGAAACAGACGCTAGTGCCATGCTTCTTGAATAACCTGCAGAACCATGCACCAAATAAACCTCTTTAGACTCAAACTCACGTGTTTCTTTATAGCAACACAAAATGGATTAAGACACTATATGAACTGAATACTAACCCGTTTTCTACCATATAAAAATATGTATTCCAAATAGAGTACAATTTTAAATGAAAATGACTAAATAATAAGGCTTCTGGGGTGGAAATTTAAGAATATCTTTATGAACCTGTTATTGTCAAAGTTTTTTTAAGAAGTACTATTATAAAGAAAATGTAAATTGACATACATTCGACTTATTAAATTTTACTCACTCAAGTGCCACATTAAGAGAATAAAAATGTAAACTATACAACTGCACCAGATATTTATAATTCACATATCTAACAAATGACTGGTATCTACATGGAATATTAAAGTCTCAGTAATTAAGAAAATAAAATGATTAAAGACTGCACATTTTACAGAAGAAAAAATCACATGTCTAAAAACCTTATAAAAATCTCATCAGCACTACTCAACAGGGATATGCAAATTAAAAGCACAATGAAATATTACCACATACCTACCAGAATGGCTAAAAGTCTGAAAGTTAAAATTAGTTTTTGATAATCACATAGATCAACAGCAACTATCACATAATGATAATGGGAGTACACATCGTATAACTTTTGGGAGAAAATGTTTGGCAATATCTATTAAAACATTTCATTTCCTATGATACAGAAATAATTTCTAGCAGAAATTCTAGTCATCACCAGAAGATTATATATGAGAATATTCTCAGCAGCACTTTTTATAACAGCCCAAACTGGAAATAATCCACAATTCCGTCAACACTAGAATGCATATGTATATATCTACAGCTCAAACTGGAAATAATCCACAATTCTATCAACACTAGGATGCATATGTGTGTGTGCATGTGTGTGTGAATACACATGCACATCATTTATAACTATATATAAATATATGAAATAGCTGATATGTATTATATATAAAGATACATATATAATGTACATAGCTATTATTATATGTATATAATAATATATAAATGATATACAGTGCTATATAGATATAGATATATGGTCAATGAATACAGCAATGAGAATAAAGAAGATATTTCTACATGCAAAATTACATGAATGTCAAAAACATCATCCTAATGGAAAAAAGCCAAACATATTAAAGCTTTAAAAATATGTCTATGGTGATAATGTCATTTTAGTAGTTAGCTTTGGAATGTAGTGACTAGATGGGATAATAAGACTTTGAAGATACCAAAAATATGTTATATCTTAATCTGTCTGCTGGTTAAAGAGACTTGTTTAATTTGTGAAAAATTTCCCTATGCATTTATGTGTACTTTTCTATAAGCAAGAGGTACTTTAATAAAAAATATTCTTTCTAAACATTTTCTTTACAATTTAAAAAGTTATAGGAGTCCGGGTTGGGCATTTTTTTCTATATAGTTCAGGTCTTGATTGGTGCTATAAAAAGTCTCCTAGGATAAATGGACCAAACCCTACTGAAAAAAGAGGAAAATAAGGCACTGAGACATTAAGTAATGGGCACATATTCAAGCAGAGAAAAAAAGAAAAATCTAAGAACCAAAATTGAAATCTAAGTTTCATCGTTTCTGAGCTTATTCCACTTTATCAGGACATGTATTCCTTCAACAATTTTTTGTGTAGATGTTAAGTGTTCATATCACAAAATGATAGTACAAAGAATAATTGTTATTATAAGTAAAAAAGATGAGGGAAAACTTTTGTAGGTTACAATAGTTTTATGACATACATTGTGATGATGATTTCACAGGTGTACACCTATTTCCAAACTCATCAAATTATATACATTAAATATGTAGAGCCTTGTTATGTCAATCATACCTCAATAAAGCAATTAAAATACCAAATTTTTGTTACGTACCTATGATGTGATAGGCTGCTACATGTTGGGGATACAGCATTTACAAAACTGAGAAGTAGAAGTCCCTGGTCTCAAGAAGCTTACATTCTAATTTACATGTTACAGTATATTTCATAATTGAGTCTGAAAACTTAGTATGTTGTAACAGTGTAACTGATCACTAGTTGTCCTTCAAAATCAATTTCTCCCCCTTCTTGAGTAATAAAACTCTCCATTTTTTCACTGGGCTATGAACACCCAAAATAACATTTACATACCTTGACTTCCCTAGCATCTAGATATAGAAATATGAGAACTTTGTAATAGGACTTAATAGCAAGTGGAGTGTGCACTTTTGGGAGAATTTTTTTCCTTATTCCATTCCCTTTTCTCCCATCTTTTCTGGGGTCTGGGGTAAGATTATAATGGTGAAAGCTGTAATATGTGAATGGTGGAGAACAAGATAGAAACATTCTCTGATACCACGATCCAAAAACATTAGACCTGGGCAACATATCACTTGGTGTGTTTTACTTACATTAAAATGAAATAAAATTCTTTTAGATAAGCCACTATAACTTTGAATTTTCAGTCACTGACAGCTAAAAATCTTCTAACACAACAATTTAGTCAACAGTTTTGTCATTTTCTATTAAATATATCTTTAAGTGTATCCAGGAAATCAGCTGGCCACTTAAAGTCTTATTTTCTATTCCTTAACTCAAAGGCACTTAAAGCTGCTATTCATCCCATAAACAAAACGTATTTGTGTCAGTGGATGCAAAGTTCAGTGTACGGAAATGGGGAGACAAGAACATGTATCTCCCATATCTTAGACCTGACAAAGGATAAGTGTTGTCTTCTTTTTCCATATTTATTTATGTTTCAATGCCAGGTCTAGTAAAACTGAATCAATTGAAAGAGAAAAATGTTTAGTTTTCCTTCATTCACCCTTGTTATTTCTCTTCTCAAACCTAATGTTGGTAAATATAATCTGATTCTACTTGAAATATTTCACATCAGAAGCTATTCTCTAATTAATAGACCAAGACATAATCATTTTACTATGTTCATTTATGTAAGTAAATGTACTTAATAAGTACATAATCCAATGGAAAGCTTTGTTTTCAACATAAAAAGGGAAACACATATAAATAGTAGTGAGTATTTAGCATTGTAAAATACCATTCTGATTTTTTACTCTGAGTTTTAAAACTTAATTTTAAAGGAAGATAAGAAAGAAAGAAAGAAGGAGGGAACTAGCTCACATTTACTTTGAACTAATTTTAGACTTAAGAAAAGGCTATTTTATTCTAGGCTAAGAAATCCAGATTTGTAATTAACTCTGGTATGTTTCCTGTCACTGCTGAGAAATTTGCATCGGCTATCTGTCCATAAACTGGTTGTATTTTTATCCCAAAGAAGTAATTTGTAAAGATGCTTCAAGATTTCCTTTTCAAGAATGCCATGGTCAATGATTAACTACACAATCCCTCATCATAAAACCTTTCTTCATGTATTTTAATTATAATAAATAACTGGATCCAATAAGCAATGTGTGAATACCCAGCAAGGTAGCTTGTTTTCTGATTATAAGAGAAAATTTATAATGCTTATGTGTATAGCAAAACCCTATTTCCCTTTTTTTTTTTTATTCAGGAAGACAACAAAAAGGCAAACTTGTAGCATATAGAAGCTAATAGTGAGAAAATGAAACTTTATGACCAACCATAGTTTGGTCGGTTAGGAGGCAGTTACCATCAGCACGGAGATCAATAGAAACTAATTCTGCCATAGAAACTAATTCTTCTGATTGGAATTCAGGCAATGTGACAACCAAAATAAGCAAATGGGATAGAGACTAAAACCTAGTGCTTCCAGGGCTATTGGAAATGTAAACTTTAAGAATAAATGCAATTTTAAACTCAATCTCCTCATCTGTGAAATGATAGAGTGTAAAAATTCATTCTGAGGATTTTTATATGTTCACACACACAATGGATTTCCATCTAAATAATAAAAATCTTGAAATCGTGATCTTGTTTTCTTGTTCAACATATTGATGCTTAGTTTATTTAAATAATGCATTACTGAGATAATTCCAATTAAAACTGGTGAGTATGTATATTCTTCATTTCCCTCCAACAAAAAAGGATTCGAAGAAACAACTACATCTTCAAAGAAACAATGCAATAACATTGACCTTTTCTGTTCTCTAAGCAACAGAAAAGGAACAGAAAAGAAAAAAATATAAACAGCCCCCATTTTTATTAAAACAAGCAAACAGGGCGATCGTGGTCTCTCATGCCTGTAATCCCAGCATTTTGAGAGGCCGAGGCAGGCGGATCGCTGGAGCCAAGGAGTTTGAGACCAGCCTGGTCAATATGAAGGAACACCGTCTTTACAAAAAAAAAAAAAAAAGAAAAAGAAAAGAAAAGAAAAAAAAATAGCCATGCATGTTGGCACTCGGCTGTAGTCCCAGCTACCAGGGAGGGTGAGATGGGATGATAACTTGATCCCTGGAGTTGCGGGCTGCAGTGAGACTTGATCCAGCTACTGCCCTTCAGCCTCAGTGACAGAGTAAGATCCTGCCTGAAATAGAAAAGCAAACAGGAAATAGCCCAATTCTCAGGCAGCAAAACTGTAATGTATATTTTTCTATAACAGTGCAATGAAATGCAGACTAAAATGAAAAGGAAAAAAAAATAAAAGAACCCTAAAAGCATACATACATCTCTTCAGGCTTTGTTAATACAGCAGCCCTCTCTATTTGGCCCCTAAATGGAGGTATAAGAGTGTGATTAACTTTTGAAGGAGAGAAATATTACTAAGGTAGATTTGATTCTACTCCATTAAATTTCAAAAAGAGGTCAAACTGAAGGGGACAACAGCATTGGCAGAGAGTTTCTTGGGTAGAGTGAATTTGACAAGGTGGAGAACTCACTGAGATGTTGAAGAACTTATGACGTCATTGCTTTGGCTCAAAGGCATAGGAAACCAAAGATCTTTAAGCAGTCTTGATGAGCAGGCTATTTATTGGAACTTTTTTATGGGTGAGCTGTTAGTTTTCATAAAAAAAAAAAAAACCTGGTACATATTGTCTTTCTCAGAAAGCATTTTCAGTAGCAAGCAGCTAACTTATTTGCTTTCTTGGTCTTGTTTTTTTCTTTTTTAACACAGTATCAGAGAATTTTGCTTAATTTCCATTCTCAGTGCTAACAGAGTTTTGCTATTTAGGACAAGTTAATACATTTTTTTTTTTCTAAACTGCAGCTTGTAGACATTCCCAAAAGTTACACAGGGTGAAGCAATGAAATAAGGTAATTCCAAGATTTCATCACAGATAGACTGTAATTAGAGGACTTTGCTGTGAGCCACAGACCCATAAATGTCAACAATCAACGGGAGAAATGCTATAGTGTAAAGGATTCAGTGAAGGGGGTATCTGTAAAGACAAAATCAAGTATAAATAATAGCCTGCCTCACTTCCTCTTAATAGAATATAAGTGATATTTACATGCAAAATTAAGAAAGAATAGAAAAAAATAATGCATACAAGTTCTGTTTGAAGACACAGAGAGAAAAGGATCAAGAAAATAAATCAAGGAAAATGAAAAAAAACTGACAAGAGTTTTCAAAGGAAATAAGAAAATAGTTTCTATAGCATCTAAGGAATTTGTCAGATTTTTTGAAGAGACCAAGGAAGAAATACGGAATGTCAAAGACAAAAATCATTTGATATCCAAGTGAAATGATTACATGAGCAAATTTCAAGAAAACAATGAAAACATAAAAACCATATTAGAAATAGCAGAAAAATCTAGTAAACATGAATTGTGTTTTACACAGTACATTGTATTCATTAATGAATTAATACATTGTATTCATTAATGAATTACAATTATATTACAATAATTACAATTAATTAATATGTTGCATTAATTAATGAATTAATACAATGCTTTACTGTGGAAAATAAAAACAAGCATAAAACACAGAAAAGACCACAGATGTGTAAAGTAATATTAGATTGATATTTTAATAATGAATATTTCTTAAAAATTGAACAACACATAGAATATATTTTAAAACATCAAAGATATAGATTATGACATTCAATAATACCTGTATTGGAGATTGAAAGAGAATATTGTGATCTAAAAACACGATTCAAAGTTTTAAAAACATTTGAAAATCAAGACAGAAGAAAGTCATGAATGGGGAGTGGGGGGAATAGAGATTAGCCTCAGACTTTTCATAGCAGTTTTTTATGACAGTACATATTGGCAAAATGTCTAAAAATTTGGAAATGAATGTATGATGAATAATTTCATGTCAATAAAGTTGTCCTTTAGTTATAAACATAGAAAGCAGACAAATTAACACTTTCAAGACCTGAAGGAATACAGTACCCATTAACTTCTGTTGAAATTAAATATAAAGTTTATTACTAAGTAAGAAACTTCAGCAAACCAAAAAATAACTCAAAAGACTTAGAAATGGAAAAGGATGGCTGGGTGCGGTGGCTAACGCCTATAATCCCAGCACTTCGGGAGGCCAAAGGGGGCAGATCATCTGAGGTCAGGAGTTTGAGACAAGCCTGGCTAACATGGTGAAACCCTGTTTCTACTAAAAAAAAAAATACAAAAAATTAGCTGGGAGTGGTGGCGTGTGCCTGTAATCCCGGCTACTTGGGAGGCTGAGGCAGGAGAATCGCTTGAACCCAGGAAGTGGAGGTTGCAGTGAGTTGAGATTGTGCCACTGCACACCAGCCTGGGAAACAAGAGCAAAACTCAAAAAAAAAAAAAAAAAAAAAAAAAAGAAAGAAAGAAAGAAAAGAAAAAAAAGAAATGGGAAAGGTTTGGGAAAGAGAACTGATTGTGAATAATGAACTTAATTGTAAAACTAAAGCTATCCATCTTGTGGATTTATAAAATATAAATGATGTAAACATTATAAAGAATAAATATACAATATAAATTGTATATATAGATTACATACATAATACATATACTACACACATAAAGCATATAATACATACTTATATTACATATTTAAAATTAGGATGCAGGAAAGGAATGTTGGAGAAAGTGTGATGATGCTAACTTATTTTGACCATTTTTAATAGAAACTTACTAATATGTGTCTACCTTTTAAAAACAGAGGTGAAAAGTATCATTCAAAATCTCTGTATTTAATAATATTGTTTTGTAATTATATGTTTCTTGTTTAAAATATTTAAAAATTATTCCTAGATTACTTTTTTCTTCTTGAAACTTCAAGTAAAAAGTATGGAGTTTTACTAAATATCAGCACATATATTTTATGTAATATGTGGCATAAATAACCTATATGTAATGTTACACTACTATAATGTAATACATATATGTATACTAATACATATAATATAAACTACTATTTATATTATAAATACTCTGTATTTTAATACTATACACAAATTATATATGCTATTATATTTAATACTATACTGTCATATAGGGGACTTCAAAAATACATGGAAAATGGAAGGAAAAGATAAAAATAAGAAATATAAACTGTTTCTCAACCAAATTCAGGACACTTTGTAAGGGATGATAGCAGCCATTTAGCATTCCTAAAGAACTGAGGGTACCAGGAATTTAACCCAGCCAATGCTCTCTGTTTCATATTATCAACTAAAGAAAAATATGCGCCCTCTAAAGAATTTTTAAGATTAAGAAATAAAAAGAAGTTAGAAATAAACAAATTAAGACTTTAAGGTGGATGCTTAATTATATCTCATTGAAACTTTTACAAATTTGCCCTTGTTTGCTGAGAGGAATGAGCAGGAGCATTGTTATGGTGGAAAAGAACTCTCTGGTGAAGATTTCCTGGGAGTTTTCCTCATAAAGCTTTGGTTAACTTTCTCAACATGTTCTCATAATAAGCAGGTGCTATCATTCTTTGGCCTTCCAAAAAGTCAACAAGCAAGGTGCTTTGAGCAGCTCAAAAAGCTGTTGCCACGATCCTTGCTCTTGACCCATCTGCTTTTGCTCTGCTAAATAACTTTCACCTCTTGGTACCCATTGTTTTGCTTGTGCTTTGTCTTCAGGATGGTAAAACTATGTTTCACCTCTTGCCACAATTATCTGAAGATATGCTTCAGGATCTTGATCCCACTTGTTTACAATGTAAAACAAGTCTTCTCTTTTCTGCAGCTATCTGGAAGGAGTGGTTTTGGCACCCATCCAATGGAACATCTGCTCTCCATTAATTTTTTCCTAGGAATTATGTAAGATGACCAGAGTGAGATGTCTGTGGTACTGGATATTGTTTGTGCTGCTGGTCATCAGTGCTCTTTAATGAGGGCATGGACAAAATTAACTTTTTCTTCCCAAAATAGATGTGTATGGTCTTCTGCTATCAGCTGTATCTTCAACATTTTCTCGTTTCTGCTTAAATCATGTTATCCGTTTGTAGGCTGCTAATTTCTTCAGGATGTTGTTCCCACAAATTTTGGAAAGCATACATGATTTCACCATTCTTCTACTCAGGCTTTACCACAAATTTGATATTGTTCTTGCTTAAATTTTAGCATAATCCATGTTTTTCTGATAAGGGTTCTTTTCAAACTGATGTGTTATCTTTCTTAGTGCCTCACACTAGACCCTGTTCAGCCATGCTTTAACAAGTTAGTATGAGTTTATTTTGGTACAAAAGAAAATTTTAAACCGGTGGATAGTTTTTATCATAATATGCATTTTTCCATGAACTTTTTGAAGACAACTATGATAAAGTTATATTCATTCTACCCACATTTTGAAAATTTCTCATTTTTTTCTGTGACCAAATTAGAACATGGTGGTATTTTCATATCCTCTAGGTAACATATAGATTACACATTTTGGGAGAATTTGTAAATGCTCTCCTGTCCCCACACCCCCAGAATATGACTACATTTGTTTTTCATGATGCACAGTAGACATTATCTTCTCCAAGAAACTTGTTTTGAACACTCAGGATGTATTAAGTTCATATTTTTTTGTTTTCATAAAATTCTATGTATACTTTATTAGATACTTTTCTGTCTTACAAATGTGAAAGAACATCAAAATTTATCTCCAAAGTCCTAATACCTAGAAAAGTGTGTGGGTTATATTAGAAATTTGACAAAAGGGTTGTTTCATTTCTTTGTTTAAATACTTACTGTTCTAAAATAATTCATATTTATTATAAAATTAAAGCAATGGACAACAATTTCAAAATAATCTTGGTTAAAAGTGGTGCACATGATCACAGACATATGCAGATATATTTCTATAGCCAGATCATATAAGATAAAAAGGCAGGCACCATGGTTTCATGCCACATGGGGTAGAGACCGCTAGCTATTAATCTAACACCTGTTCTTCTTTCTGGTCACTTGGCAAACAACGTATCCCAGCCTCACATGCATTTACATAAGGGCACGCAATGGAATTATGTGTAGAAATAATGTGCATTATTCCTATTCAAAGCCTTTAGCAACACAAAGTGGTACTTTCATGCTTTATTTCCCCTTATTTCAGGAAATAGAAACTATAATATATAAATTTTAAAAATCCATATATAATTCCAATATTAAAGTATTTTTACAAATATATTTTATTTTGACTGAAAGATAATAATTGTATATACTTATGGAGTCCAGTGTGATGTTTCCATACATGTATGAATGGTAGAATGAGCAAATCAGGCTAATCAATGTATCCATCTCCACACATAATTATCATTCCGTTGTTGTGAGAACATTGAAATCTACTTTTTTTAGCAATTTTGAAATATATAATACATTATTATTAATAACTATAGAGATGTCTGCTATACCATATTCCTTGCAGCATTATTCAAAATAACCAAAATGTGGATAAAAACCTAAGTTCTCAGAAGCAACAGAGTGGGTTTTTAAGATATGGTATATATGCACAATGGAATACTAGTAAGCCTTTCCAAAGAATGAAATTCTGTCATTTTTGACAACATGGAAGAATCTAGAGGACATTATGCTAAGTGAAATAAGTTTGGCACAGAAAAACAAATATTGCATGATCTCATTTACATGTGGAATCTAAAAAAGTTAAACTTATATAAGTAGAGAGTAGAATGGGGGTTACCAGGGGACGGCAGGAGGATGAGAAGAAAGAAATGTTGGTCAAAGCGTACAACATTTTAATTAGAAAGGACGACTCAATTCCGGTGACCTCTTTCACCGCAAGGTGACTATAGCTAATATTAAAATTTTATAATTTATCTTAAATATTTTAAAATTTAAGAAAGAGTCTTTAAAAAATCAAAGTTTAGAAATATCTGACATCTCGTTGTAGTAATTTATTAACTAAAATTCTTCTATACCCTTTCTGCTACATATTAAGGCAGATAGATGTAACCCACCTATAATTTCCTCTGACTTACAGTTTTCAGTCAGGTATCAAGGTGGATATAAACATATTGCTGATTGAGCTTTCACAATAAATGTAATCAAATCAAGTATAATATAACTTTGCAATTTTGTTATGTAATTGATGGGGTGGAAGAAGAGCAGGTGATGACTGGGAAGGGTGACATGACCCAGGTCTTAACATTTCACTGAAAGTTTCCAACTGGACTTGTTTTATTCAAGTCTTTATTCCTGAACCCCATTTTTAGGGCCATTCTTCCTTTTCGCTTATCATGTGGAGCATATTCTTCATTCCACAGGGAACCTGATACTACTATTAAAGTATTTTTATCAGCAAAGCCAATATCTCCCTATACAGATTTATTATCCAGGCTTCTAAGGTGATAAATTTTGTCAAAGAGAGATGAATGATTAACTTCAATGTCAAAGAAAGCTAAAATAAATTATCTTTTGTGTGTTGTATGATATTTTGCCCTTACAAAATAGTAAAAGACATAGAATATTATAAGAAAAGAATATTGTACGTCTTTTCTATAATTAACAGCACGTCAAATTTTCTTTGTGTATTTGAGAAATCTACAAAACAAACCCTAAATGTTAATTTTCCAAAAAGACTGCTTGACACACTCCTTTGACAAGCCTCTTACCTCCCAAACAGATCCTATGAACATAGAATTTTTCCCTCATCTTATTTTTTTTACATATTTTCCACCCCCAGAAAAATTTGCTTAGTGAAGTGATAGTATCTCTTATTACCGCTACTTTTATAGTCTTAATAATAAACATATCTTAAATGTATTCTGTTATTCACTATAAAATATAGAGGTTAAAAAAGACTTAGGTAAGTTATAAAGGTGTTCTTATATTATCTGAAACTCTCCTTATGCTAATATCCCTGACTTCCTTGATTAACGGTAATTGAAGGCTTTACTGTTTTCTCATTCTTTACTTTTATTAATGAGATTGCCATGCTCTGATAAGTGCAAGCTGCAAGGACACTCTTCATACACAGAAAGAGAGGCACAGAGGCAGTGAGGTATCGAGTATGCAAGTGAAGACATTTTGGGTTGGAGGTGGATTTTCCAGCCACAGTTGCCAAAAACTTTGTCTTGATGAGAGAACTAGTCAACAATGACGTTTCCAAATTTTTGATCTGCAAATTCATAAGCAAAATTAAGTATTCAGGTTAAGTCACTAGGTTTGGAGAGAGATTTTACACAGAAACAGAAAAGAACAAGAGTGTTACTTAATCTCACTGTATTTCAGTTTCCTCAACTGTAATATAAAGGTTGATAACAATTCCTCATAAGGTCATTGTGATCATTAAACAGGATTAATAATGCACACACAAGCACAGGTATACACATACACACACAAACTTGAAGAAGGGTAATAAAAATCTGAGAATATTTTTAAAAATTCTATTATGTTTACAGACCATAACTAATTGATAATTTTGTTGCTATCAGAATAAATATCCCATTGGAGTATCTGATTTCCTCTGTGGTATGATAATAAATAAAATCATAATATAAACCAATCCACATTGATATTCTACTGTAATTAACATTAAAAATTTGAGGTGTTTTCAGACTCGTGAACATACTTATGTGCAGTAAATAATGAATCTTTTTATTCTGTTTGGATATTTATAGGATGACAAGTGGATTAAGCTTAGTTTTGCAATAAAATAAATTTTCAGAATAGTCTTAATAGTTTAATAAAACAGGGACTTCAGGCCCCCTACAAACCAGAGCAGTCACATTCCCACCCAGCTGGCACCATAGCTGAGGCAGTGCCCTGGCTCCCACAGACGCCAAGCATGTGGCACACTAGAGCGAGTGCACATTAGCAATGTTCTGTTGCTGCCAGAAGCCATGCAGTTCAAACCTGTGTTATTCAAGGATCGACCGTATACAGAGAGCAACGGTTGCTAGGGGTGGGTTCTGGGGAGAATAGGGAGATATAGATCAAAGAACATAAAATAGCAGCTATTTAGATTAAACAAGTCTAGAGATCCAATAAGGACTTCAGGTAATAAAATTAAACAATATTTGGGATTCATGCTAAATGAGTACATTTGAGCTGTTCTTGCCACAAAAAACAAAAAAATGGATAAGTATGTGATATAGTGCATACCTTAATTTGCATCCATATAGTAATTTTTTTACTACCTGTATGTATTTTATAACATCATGTTGTATACCTTAAATATACAACATAAGATTTGTTTTTAAGTATTTTTTAAAAATGAAAATTTTATTGATATTTTTAAATACTTTATTTTTGTCAAGGTTAAATACCCATTGAGATTTTTTTTTAACTTCTTAGGTATTTGAAATAATTCATCCCTAATAACATATGGGCATTAGAAACAGAATTTCATATAAATCAACTGCTCAACTATTGAATTAAATAGCATAAGACAAAATATAAAGAAAATAGGAAAATGACATTCTGATTAGTAAGGAAAAACCATCTTTGAATATTTATAGTAGAAATACATTTTTGTTGGTGCTTTGTTCATGTTATAAAAATAGTATTAAATAGTAATAGGCTGAGTGTGGTGGTTCATGCCTATAATCCCAGCACTTTGGGAGGCTGAGGCAAGCAGATCACTTGAGCCCAGAAGTTTGAGACTAGTCTGAGCAACACAGTGAGACCTCATTTCTACCCAAAGTTGAAAAACAAACAAAAACTTAGCTGGGGATGGTGGTGCGCACATATAGTCCCAGCTACTTGGGAGGCCAGGCAGGAGGGATACACAACCTGGGAGTTCAACGATGTAGTGAGCTGTAATTGTGCCACTGCACTCCCGCCTGGGCACAAAGTGAGACCCATCTCGAAAAAATAAAAAAGTATTAGTAGTAAAATATGTAATGGGTTATGTTTCCTTATAAAGCACATATCTCAATTCAATTTTATTTTTTTTCTTTCTCATTTAGGTAAATGAAGAAAAGTTCTTTAAACAGTAAGATTGGTAGGGTCAGAAAAACAAATTAAGGTTTCCTCTATTTTTGCAATATGTTTCTAGACAGAGTTAAGAAGCTCTGACTGAAAATGGGGAGAAAGTATTTAAGATGTTTAAAAAGTAGCTTGCATTTTAATATTATAATATTCGAACCAGACTGAAATCTATGAACAGATCTTCAGATGTCTATGAGTTAATGTTCAATGTGGTTGGATATAAAAGAGTTAACATTAATTCCAAAAGGTTCAAATGAATCTACATGCATATTTATCTAAAAATATTCAATAGTGGCATAATAACTCAATGCTTAGTCTAAGCTGTAAAATGAGTTTATAATGTTGATAAATGTATTTGCAATACCAAGGCATTGCATGTAAGGATGGAAATTTCCTCAGAAAGATTGATCACACTCGTAATTCAGAGCCTGTGCAA